>NC_000008.11:32587375-32890405 GCF_000001405.40 Homo sapiens | reverse complement strand
GGTGAGGACATTTTAGAAAGTTAAGAGGAAGGGCGGATGTTGTGTTAGGAAGTGAGCATCAATTAACAAATTAAAAGATGATACAGTTTCTAGTGATAATCAGTGTGGTTATGAGTGCAGATGGCAAGGCATGAGCGAAAGAGAAGGTCACCGAAGATGAAGAGGTTGAAAAACTATGAGAACAGGATGTTTTGTTTTCAGATTCTCAGCTGATGCTATGGAGAGCAAAACTGTGAGCCTGTGGAGCAGGTATGGAATTCTGCAATGGACAGGGAAGGTGTGTTTGCACAATGAGAGCAATGAGGTTGGGGCATGACTCCTGTGCCAGGAGCCAATGTTTCTGAACATTGCCTTGGGTACACCTTCACTTGATGAAAATAAGAAGAGATAGCACTTACTGACAAATTGCCATATGCCAGACACTCTTGCTTAGAACTTTTAAAAAATTTTCTCATTTACATTTCCCAACAACATAATAAAGTAGGTGCTATTATTTTCCCCAATTTTACAGATTGAGAAAGAAGGGTGAAAAAAGAAAAATTAATTTGGTCAAGTAGACACAATTAAAGTTGTGGTGGCCATTTTGAACCCAGGCAATCCATTCTAGAGTCCATTTTCTTAACTGCTACACTGTATTGCCACTCAATTTGGAATCCCACAAAGGTGAGGCTGATGACCCGAGTGGGAAGAACTTTGCCTGAAATATGGTAAGAAACTGCAACACCCTAACAATTTAAAACGAGTTTTTCAGATTTCAGAGGAAGGCCCTTAAACATGAGACACAGAGACTAAAATTGCCTTATGTCAAATGACTAGAAAGAAGGGAAGACTTAATTTTCATAACTCCAGGGGGACACCTCTATCAGTCCTCTGAGAACATATGGGAGAAAGCACCTTTCTGACCAAGGAGACTGCTTTAAGTGGCAGTATGTTTGCAGACTTGGCAATTCTGAGAATACTCACCATGCGGTATCCGCAGACCATAAAGAGAGGGATAGATAAGGTGAGCAGGATTCCCCAAGCTGCAATGTGCTGTAGCCTAAACTCGTTCATCCTATTAAAGCAGATCATATTTGCTGCCCTGGGTTATTTCTAAATGACTGGAAAATCTACTGAGAATCCTAACTCTAAAGTATAAAACTTTGGAAAGACCAAATAAGAACTCTGAAGCTACAGTACTTTATCCCGTATCGATAGACTCACTGGGGAAAATCACTGTTTTGCTTTCAAGTCAAAAAATAAAAGTAAATTTCAGTTAGTAGCCATGATTCCTCATGGGTTTTTTTTTTAATTCAGATGAAGCAAAGTATATATCTGAGAAAGAGCTTGATATAAGGCTAAAGAAAGGAGACCCAGACACTCTCACACTGTTTCCTTTACCAAATCAAGTGTCAGCTCCCAACTGAGAGGCAGTGAGATGAGTTATGACCACATGAATGAAGCCATGAGAGGACAGTGGGTACAGGGGGCACTGCCATAGCCAAAAGATGCCCAAACGTCAGAAAAAAATGCAGTATCTATAAAGAGACTGGTATCAGAAGGTCTACAAAAGGGTCAGACTAGCAGGAGCCAGGTCAAAATTTGGAGGTGAGTACAGATATAGGGTGCAGGTTCTGGAAACGGGGATCTGTTATCTGGAGCAGAGAGTTTGGCACAGAAATCTTTAGTGCAAGATGCTCTTGCTTGGAGAGCTCAGAGCATATTCCCAGAATCAGTGGCTTCTAACTACCATGCTTTTTATATTTCTACCCCATATAACATTTGACCCTCCTATATTTCCCCCAGAATGTCTGCATCCACTATAGACATACTAAAAATTATAGTTGAGAAAAAGCAAGAAAAAACAACAATAATGAAGCTTCTCAGAAATATTATTAACCTTTGATATGTTCCTTCAGATTTTGTCATATGTGTATTTGTATTTTCAAGAATGGATCATATTATACATAATGGTCAATAAATTGCTTTTCTCCCTTGGCATTATAGTGTACCAAAATATCCAGGAGAATGTAATTCTTATGTTACATCAACTATTCCAAAGCATAGAAATTGATGGACATCATCCCAACTATAGGCCAGTCTTGCTAGCAAACGCTATGATACAAAATACCAAAGTATTCACAAGTTAAATCTAATAATATACTGTGACCAATTAGGATTTACTGAGGAATATAAGAAGGTTTGAACATTGGGAAATCCATCCATGTAATTCAATAGACCAAAAGCTAAGGGAGAAAAAACATGATTATCTTAATGATAGATACCACCCATTTCTGATTCTTTTTAAAATTAAAATACTTTGTCACTTGGAACGGAAAGAAAATCCCATAGCCTGGATGGATAACTAACAGAAACATGACACCTAATTGTAAACTATTAGCCATTTATAGTAAAGGGGTTTTTTTAAGCTTAAAAAAGTGATCTAGTTATCCTATATCACAGCTACACTTCAACACTTTCTTATTTTCCCTAAGGTTCTAACTAATGTAAAACACACAATGAGAAATAAGTGAAACACATATTAAAAAGAAAGAGATAAGATAGTCACTATTGTCTATCTAGGGCATACAAGAGAAGAATCACTCACAATGTCTAAGAAAAAGATTGGAAAAGATAAAATATTTCAGCCAGGAGTGGTGGCTCCCACCTGTAATCCCAATAGTTTGGGAGGCTGAGGCTGGTGGAACACTGGAGCCCAGGAGTTCTAGACCAGACTGGGCAACATGGTGAAATCTCTTCTCTATAAAAAATGCAAAAAATTAGCTGGATGTGGTGGTGTGCACCTGTAGTCCCAGCTACTTGGGAGGCTGAGGTGGGAGGATCACCCGAGCCCAGAAGGTCATGGCTGCAGTGAGCCATGATCCCTCCACTGCATTCCAACCTGGGCAACAGAAAGAGACTCTGTTTGTTTTGTCTCAAAAACAAACAAACAAAAATAATAAATAAAAGATTTCAACAAGGCAGCTATGTACAAGATGAACTTAAAAAATAAGTTATTTTCCAAAACACTGTCAATAATTTGAAAATAAAATGGAGAAGGAAAAGATCACACAACAGCAACCACCACTCTGTGCTGCCTAGAAATAAATGTGATAATAAATGTATGTTTGTGAAGAAAATTATAACATATTTTAGGATATATAAGAAGACCTAACTAATTTAAAAGATACAGCATGTGCTTGTATAGAAAAGCTCATTATAAAGATCCTTCTCCCTTTCAAATTAAACAATAAAGTTAATGATTAATGGGGTTAATTTTTTTTATTATACTTTAAGTTCTAGGGTACATGTGCACAATGTGCAGGTTTGTTACATATGTATACATGCACCATGTTGGTGTGCTAAAATATGAATAAATATACTTTTATCTTTTCCCATATCTTTGTAACCTATTCATGTGGAGGCCTCCATTGATCTGGGGACAAATTAAGATTTTAAAGCAGAAGCTCAAAGAGAAAGAGCCAATATTCAGATTTCTACTTCAAAAATAGAATTTTTGATTCCACAGCAAAGAAATTGTCTTGGAAGCCAAGGTTTGGTGAGTGGGGAAGAGAGTTTCTAAGTTTCATAATCTCTCTTTTGTATTTCAAGTGCTAAATCTGACTAACCTAGATGATAAGGTTTTACCATTATCAGTAGTGTGGATAGAATGTAAATTGCCACATAGGGAAGTTCCCATAAGACGAAAGTAAAGGCATAGAGACCCCTTTCTTTAGAAGGAAAGGTATTTGGAAAAGAAGTGAACAAGGTAGAGTCACTGCCTAGATCCCACATGAAGATCATTATAGTACATTAAAAAATGGAAACAATGTATATATGTATCAATAATAGGTCAATAATACATGGTCATGTAATAGAGTTTAAAAACAATAATTCAGGTACAATACAACCCTTAGCTATGAAATTACACCATGAGAATATTTACATTTCAATAAACATATATCTACAACATCACTTCTAATGGCTGCATATTTAACGTTGTATGAATATGCCATACTTTTCTATTTCTAGATCCCTAGTTTGTTTCATATTATAATTTTTAAGTCATAATAAACTATTTTAGACATTCATGTTCATACATTTGTTGGCTATTTGTTGGTCAATGATTTCCTTAGGATAAATTAATAGAAGTAGAATTCCCAGGACAGAATGCAGGCAAAATTTTAAGGCTTTTGGTACATATTAATGGGTGGTTCTCCAAAACAGTTCTACCAGCTGTGTGGTCAGTGCTGGATAATATTTTAAACAGGGAGGAAAGAAATGGGTACACTTAGCTCAAATAATAACTGGAAAAATTGTGCCAGAGAAGGTATACAGACATTCCCAAACAGTTCTGTTGGTGGCTTTTCTATATAAAGTTCTTATGTCTTTAAATGTGTGCAATCATTTTTGTTGTAGTAGTATCAGTAAGCCTTATTTCATTTGCCAGATCAAAAAAAGCCTTCCCAGAGAATCAGCATAGCAGAGTGAAAGGTAAGGAGGCATAGAAAAAAGAAATCACCAAAACTGAGGTAGAGCTATGGCTTCATATCTAAACCCTATTTTATAGTATCTGTATTGATTTGGGAAAGTCACCTTAATCTCTCTTAATATTCATTTCCTCGTTGTGAAATAAGAATATTATCTATGGCTGTGGGAGTAGTAAAATGGTACATGTGGAAGGACCCAGTATAGTGCCTAGCACAAAAGACATTACATTTTTATTTTGGTTTCCCTTCTAGAAAGCAAAAAACTAAGCAAGTTTTACTCAAATAAAATCGATTACTTTATGCATGGAATGCTACTACACATGAGAGAAAATGTGTTGGATGAATCCCAAGACAGGAGCTTGAGTTCTGTAGGCACTTTTCAGACACTACCTCCCTGTCACTAACTTCCTATGTGATCTTGAGCTGATTGCCAGCTCTTCCCGAAATGTGTTTTTCATGCCTTTAATGATGAAATGTGCTCTGAATCAAAAGATCTCAACCTAAGACTAATTTTGTTTTTATGTGCATTTTCCTAAAGGCAGGGTTCATAGCTGTCAACAGATGTTCCAAGAGATCTGTTTTTCAGTAATGATTAGCAATGTTCTGAAATCTAGATGGTCTCTAAAATTTCATCCATATCTTACTCTCTGTTTCTGATTAAGCTCATAATTGGCTCTTACTTTTGGTTCAGTGTTATTTATTAACATGTTTTGAGGCTATGTAATATTTTAGTGGTGACTCACCAGCCAAAATTTTAGGTTCTTTCTTGGCCTTCAGACTTCCCTGCAGTTTTCTCACAGCCCCTAGGAAAAAGGTATGGCCGGGGTATTTCTACATGAAAGTTTCTGATTACTCAAGTGGTTTCCTAGACTTATTATGCTCCTCATCCTTCTTAGTTATTTTCTTTCTTTTTTTTTTTAATGTTCTCTCTCTTGGCCAATTCACCAGAGTACAGATTTAATTAATAGGTGGCAACATATTGCAACTCTCACTGCCAAGATTCATGATTAAGAAAAGAGCCTGTGGGTTTCAGATCTTTGGTTTCTCTTCCTTCTTTTTTTCAAATCAGGCCCCTTATAAAACACAAAATTGTACTGAGGACAATGTCAGAGTTCGATATTACCATAATAAACGTGAATATATGTGAATATTAAAAAGTAAACGGAAGGAAAAAATACTAAATGTATATGATTATTCTGGTAACCAACATATTTACTTGCAATGAAAGTGATAGTGTTAGAAGACTGCATCACAGAACTCAGAGAAGTATTCATCCTCTTAATATTTATCAAGGACCAACAAGGTACCATGCAAGGGGATGTAAAGGACAGAATAATGAACATGAATCCTGCCTTCAGGGAAATAATCCATTATCAAGACATGTAAGAATATATGTGTATGCAAATAACAATAATACAAGGTAATAAGTGATAAGTTGCAACTCAATACAAACAGATAAATTGCTAAAGTTGTCCCATAGTCAGAAGAAAAGCTTTAAAATGGGGGAAATGGGGAAGATATATACGGGTTAGTAACTGAGCTGAATTTTGAGTAACAGTAGAGTTTGGACCCATAAAATACTGGTATAAACACATCAAACAGAGGCAATGGCATGGACAAAGTAAGGAGGAATTTGAAAGATTCGAGGCCTCTTTAGGATACATATTTATTTCAGCTCTAATTAACATTTCTTGATATCTTAGAGGTAATATACATAAATGAGAATAGTAAGAAATAAGATGAGAGCAAGTCTGTGGCTAAATTGTGGTAGACCTTGAAAGACTAGGAAGTTTTTAGTTCATTCTATAAACCATGAGGAAACACAGAAGGTTTGTAACCAGGGAAGTAATATGACACCAGTTTATATTAGGAAGATTAATATTTGGCAATATTTATTGTGGAAACTAGCTGGGGAAGCAGGGACTGAGCAAAGATAGACATCGGTAATACAAAGAGTAGGAAGAGATAGGAGAGAAACTATGAAGGTCAAGGTCAAGTCAGTAATTTTTTTTTTTTTTTTTTTTTGAGATGGAGTCTACCTCTGTCACCCAGGCTGGAGTACAGTGGTGTGATTTCGGCTCACTGCAACCTCTTCCTGTTGGGTTCAAGTAATTCTCCAGCCTCAGCCTCCCGAGTAGCTGGGATTACAGGCACCCACGACCACACCCAGCTAATTTTTGTATTTTTAGTAGAAACAGGGTTTCACCATGTTGGTCTGGCTGGTCTCGAACTCCTGACCTCAAGTGATCTGCCCGCCTCAGCCTACCAAAGTTCTGGGATTACAGGCGTGAACCACAGCATCCAGCCTCAAGTCAGTAATCTCAATTTACTGGATAGGAAGGATCAAGAGGAAGGAGAAAAAAAAATTGACTGCAGGTTTAAGTCTAAGGATCTGGAAGGCTAATGGGGCTGCAAAAACAGGACATCCAGATTTAGTAAAGAGTATAGGACAGGATTTGGATGAAAACAGCCAAACTAGTCATGATTAATGATCATCATCAATGCCATTTTGGGAACAATATGCTAACAACTGTGCATTAGTAAGCATCTTCCAACAATTTCTTTTCACCATATTTATCTTACAGGTAAACAAGTAGCTAGATAGCTTCCTCTTCAATATTGCCATCTCAAAATACTTAAAAATTGTTATTCAATTCAAAATGTGTTTCATTGCTATCTTTGTGCCACCATAATATCTTGCATATTCCTGTAACGCTTGATGGTATATGTTTTGGAATATTGTATAAAATGCTATCATTTTAAAGTTTTGCTTTTTTACCTGCATTGGAAAGATTGTCATCATTTGATCAAAAATACTGACTAGTATTACTTTATAGAATAAATTTGTGGTTGTAGTTATAGAATAAAAGCAGCAGGCAAAATGAGTGACATTATCTTGGTGGAAATGAGAAAACTTGGGCATGCATATTCAACCAAGAAGTGGACACTTGCAAATCAACTTCAGTCAATAAATTTCATGAAAGGTAGAACTGTTTAGATCTTTCTACTTTTCAAAAAGAGATTATATATATATATATATATATATATATATATATATATATGGATTTTTATGTAAATCTTGAATTTTAATACATTATGCAGATAAGATTTCCACTTCTGGCCATATCAGAGTAACTTCTACTGGACTTGCCTTTGCATCATAAATAAAATATTAAAAAACAATATGAAATAGCTGTTTTTAGATCTTTGATAAAATGAAGTTCAGGACTGTGATCCATGAGAAAAGGTAAATGCAGTGAGCCCTGCATTGGTTCTGGATTTCTACCTAGAAGCATGTCCAGATCATGGGACAAGGAAAGAAATTCAAGTAAAGCAGGAAGTTCTCCCTTAACTTAAAATACAGATGCTGAAATTAGAGGAGGCAAAGGAGGTTGGAATTCAGATGACAGAGTACCTGAGGAGAGAAACGTATACAGAAGTAGAACTTCAGAACTCTGCATCTAAGTCCACTTGACCTGATGCCCGTAGTACACTGGACATGTGTGGGTGAAACTGTCATACATAGTATGCCAAAACTACTGGTGAGTTTTAATCTGACAAATTCCTAGAGCTTACACAGGGTTGGGAGACATTAAAGTTCTTAGAGACAATGCATTAGAAACTCAGATATTCAGGAGAGACTCCAGAAGAATCATATCTTAGTATTAGAGCTGAACCAACTCTAAGGTAAAGGCTACTCTAGATCTGACCTAACAAAATTTTAAAAGTAGACTTGAAAGGATCAAGTTGATTTGCAAATTACTTAAGTATCTGCCAAAACAAAATTGTTCAATGTTCTTTAAGGAGAAGACAACAAAATCTAGACCTGATAATTTAATATTCAACATCCAAACAAAAATGTTGAGGTATGTAAAGAAAAATGTTCAGTATAACCTGGAGAAATATTCATGGCAGAAATAGATCCAGAAATAACAGACATGATCAATTTAGTAGACTTTACAATTGCTTTCATAAATATGTTGATAGATTTAGAGGAATAACCATGAAACTAATGAGAAAAATAGAAGATTGAAAAAGAATAAAACAGAACTTTTACAGCTAAAAATTATGAAAATAAAAAAAATTCCATGGATAGAATTATCAGCATGCTAGACAGAATTATCAGCTGATTAGATACTGTAAAAGAGAAAATTAGTAAATTTAAAGATAGAGCAATAGAAGTTATACAAACTGAGGAATAGATATTTAAAAAGACTGAAAAAAAATAAAGAAATAGAGAGCCAGCGACCCATAGGACAATAATAATTAGTCTAACATATATATTACTGAAGTCCAAAACAAGGTAGAAGGAGAAAAAAAATTGAAGAACCAATGGACAAATTGTTTGACACTTTTTGAAAACTGTAACCTAACAGATCTAAGAATCTTGGCAAACTCCCCAGAATAGTAACCACATAAATATACATCATAATAAAATTACTAGAAAGAGAAGATAAAATAAAATCTTACAAACAGCCAGAGGAAAGAAGAAACTTTACAATAATAAATAATACTATGAAACAAATAAGGGAAACTGCAGACCTCATCAGAAACAATGCAAACCAGAAAAGAAAAATAGAACAGCTTTAGAGTGTTGAAAGAGAAAAGCTATCACTCTAAAATCCTATAGCCTCCAAAAATGAAGGTCAAATAGCGACACTGTGCATCTTAAATCTTCAGGTTTGCAGGCCAGGTGTGGCCACTAACCCCCTATCGGGAGGGGTACATGAATGGGATGGTGGAGAGTCCTGGAAGCAAAACAAAACAAAACAAACAAAAACTTGGCTAAAGGAAGGAACCATAGGGACTAAGGTTAACCCAGGGTGGGACTCCCAATCAGAGAGCTTGGTTCCCAGAATAAGAATAATGTCACAATGATAATGAAGGTCAATTACTTACGAAAGGGAATTCTCATGTGTTTAGGGTACAATGAAGAATGCTCAGGGGTATTAACAGATGTTTTTCCTCAAGAGTATCTATTAGATGATAGATAGCATTAGATAACAGGGGGATAAAATGACTTTTCCTTTTTAAAAAAAGATCATAATACAATGGATTTGTAAGCACTTAGAAAATTATTTTTAAATTTATGAAGTTTGCTGTGGGTTTGGCCAGGGTCTGACTCTACCTCAGGCTGATCATAGGGAGTTGTATCTACTTTCTATTTTACTTCCTTCTGTTGACAATTGCATTTTTCTTAATGCTTCATGCTTGTTTTTGAAAACTTGAACAGCACTTCAATTCCTAGGTTACCAGTGGAGAATATAAATTTCAGCAGCACAGGCTCTGATTTTTAATGCCAGTAGTGAAATTTCCAATAGACTCTAATTAACAGATTTTTAAAAAATTTTAATTGACACATAAAATTGCAGATATATATGGAGTACATAGTGATGTTTTGATATGTATAATGTATAGTTATCAAATCAGGGTAATTAGCATATCAATCAACTCAAACATTTATAATTTCTTTGTGTTTCTAACCAGAGTTCAGATAGCTTTGTGAACAGTTATCCCATGAAGGCACCCTTATATTCCTCCTGTTTTACAAAGTGGGGAAAGGAGGTGGCCTCAGCCACCAAGACTTTTCATTTGTTCTCCTGGTGGTCTGTGAGAAGTCCACTAGACCTCTGAAGAAATAGCCTACTGCAGAGATGACTTTAGAACCATCTGAAAGTTTACCTTTAGAGCAACCATCCTGCTCTCAAATCATCCATCTTTCTCTTTATATCTGAAATCCCCCCCACCAAATAGAATCCCTCCCTTTTCCTCACCTACCTCAAATCCTGCCAATTCTTTCCCTCAAATCTGTCACTATTTTCTGTATCCATGACCATGGCTTGTCTTCCTAATCCTAGTTTCTATCTTTAAAAATCATCTTCCTTCCTGCCATCACATTATTTTATTCTAAAACCTAGCACTCTTACCTAAATGTATGTGTTCTCTCTAGGTAAAATTCCAGACCCTTTTATATGGTATTCAAGAATCTTCACAATCTGGTTGATGAAGTCTCCTAGTCTCGTCTTTAGCAATCCTGACCTGACCTTGCCCCCAGACATCAACACCAAAATACTCCATACAAATAATTCACAAAGTTTAGTTGACAGCTTGATAAAATGTGCGTCATTGAAGCCATAAAATATCTTTCCTGCTTACTGGAATAAGTGATGTTTGTCCCAGGGAAGAAGAGAAAGGATGATAGCTTGAAACTATCTGTATTACTGGTTAAATGAAAAAAAGTTTTTGATTAAAACAATATGTATCTCTTAAATTCATTTCTTCTGAGTCAAGGAAAAGAGACGCACACATTTCAGGCTCTAAAGCAAGAACAGCCTGTCTATGCTAGGGACAGGCTTCAGCAGAGATGTTCCTACAAAGGGACTGGGAGGTCAAGAGACTACCCAAGAGATGGGTTTTTCAAAGATGACTGTGTATATCCTATAGTTCTCTCAGTGATTAGAGAAGAACTCAGAGAAAGACAGAGACAGCTTTTCTTACATGTTGATGGTTATTTGGATCCCTTAGAAGAACATTCAGAATTCAAAGAAGTAGAAATAGCTCCGTTTTCAAATAGCGATGAGCAAAAAAAGTCAAAAGTGAAGAGAAGCTCAAATGAAGAGAAGCTTCAGGAGATAGAAAACAATTTGATCCAGAGTCAGGGTGTTAAAAGAATCATCTCTTGGCAAAGATGAATGAAAGGGAGAGAAAACAGGAAAGTCCAACGTGAGGTTAAGAAGGCAGGCAGGGCAGCTGCCCAGGGGAGGGTGGCAGGCTGACACCCCAGCACGGCTCCTCCAGGATGTCCTCAAAGCCATCTCCAGGGAAAACAGTGCAATCAGTGAGAAATGAGGCTGAAGGAACAGCAATTCAAACCTGAAGGCAAAATGATGTAGCCCTAGACCCAGAAAGGAGAAGAGCCCTCATCTCTAAGGGATTTAGGAATGCTTACTTGACCAAAGCCCGGATGGAAATACAGGAAAAGGGTGGTCTTCAGAATGGGGCTAAAGACAGCTCCTGGGTCTGAAAGAGGAGGAGCAGGGAGTCCTCTCTGTTCACCTCTCACTGAGGTTCACATTGTCAGGGAATCACCTTGGTGGTGATGTGAATAAAGTCTACAGGGTGAACTGCAGTGAAGGAGGGCACCCAGAGGGGAGATGGTAGGGCTGGGAATGCCCCTGGAGACCACATTCTTCCTTTGAATTCCTGAAAGGAAGGAGCAAAAAGCTAAAGAGATCAGTGACGGTGGGAACTTAACTCTGGGAAACTATAGCTTCTTTAAAAGTGGAAGGATCTAGTGATCCTGGGATTTCATTTCTCACCCTGGGCAGTTTTCTTTATTTACTTTACTAAATTGGCCTCTACAGGCCTTTGGATTTATCATCCTATTACAACTACAGCAAAGCAGAGGAACATGACATCAATATGGGCTGGATTCAAGGGGCAAAACTTCATGGGATGAGTAGAGCTTGAGCTAGAATCTGGTGGAGGGAGGGAGAGGAGAATCTGCGTGTCTGAAGACTTGAAGGTAGAATGAAAGCTTTCAACAACATGGAATTCATTGTCTTCGACTGGGAAAACATATGAGCCACCAAAACGATCCCAGAGCAGGCTCAGTGTCATGGAGCTCTTCACCCAAGAGAACTCCCAAGGGTTATGCTCCTATGATGGATGAGGCCACTGCTATTTCAGCAATGGGAATGGGTTTATGCTGAAATTAATGGAAAAAGAGCAGTGGGCCAGAAGTCTCAATTTCTATTCCTGGTTATTTGTTTGATTTGTTATGTGCTGGAGCAATCCGCTGAAACTCTGGACTTCAGCCTCTTTATCAGTAAAATTAAGGGATTGGACTGTAGAACCTCCTAGTTTCTTTAGGCTCAAAAGATCCATGATTCTAAGAAAGATCATTGTGTCTGGAATCTGGGTATTCTGTTGGAGGTTAAGGTGAGTAGTGTTTTGTTTGTGGAACTGCAAGGAAATCACATGCTTGCTCAACCAATATTTATTGAGCACCTACTATGTGCCAGGCACTAACTATTCTGGGTGAGAGATATAGGAGTGAACAAAACAGATGGAACTCCCCTGCTCTAACTGAGCTTACATTGTAGTGTATCGGGGGAAATTCAGCCCTGATATTTCAACATGGGTCCTTTTCTATTTTCCCTGTCAGCTGGTCTGAGAAATAAAGGGCAAGAGTACAAAAGAGAGAAATTTTAAAGCTGGGTGTCCAGGGGAGATGTCACATGTTGGCAGGTTCCGTGATGCCCCCCAAGCCTCAAAACCAGCAAGTTTTTATTAGTGATTTTCAAAAGGGGAGGGAGTGTACGAATAGGGTGTGGGTCACAGAGACCACATGCTTCATAAGGTAATAAAATATCACAAGGCAAATGGAGGCAGGGCGAGATCACAGGACTGGGGCGAAATTAAAATTACTAATGAAGTTTCGGGCACGCATTGTCATTGATAACATCTTATCAGGAGACAGGGTTTGAGAGCAGACAACCGGTCTGACCAAAATTTATTAGGCGGGAATGTCCTTGTCCTAATAAGCCTGGGAGTGCTACAGGAGACCAGGGCTTATTTAATCCCTTATCTATAAAAGTAAAAGACAGACATTCCCAAAGCTGCCATTTTAGAGACCTACCCCTAGCCACACATTCTATATCTCAGGGCTGTTCCTTGCTGAGAAAAAGAATTCAGCGATATTTCTCCTATTTGTTTTTGAAAGAAGAGAAATATGGCTCTGTTCTGCCCAGCTCTCAGGCAGCCAGACCTAATGGTTATTTCTCTTTTTCCCTGAACATCGCTGTTATCCTGTTCTTTTTTCAAGGTGCCCAGATTTCATATTGTTTAAACAATTTGTGCAGTTAACGCAATCATCACAGGGTCCCGAGGTGACATACATCCTCCTCAGCTTACAAAGTTGATGGGATTAAGAGATTAAAGTAAAGACAGGCATAGGAAATCACAAGAGTATTGATTGGGGAAGTGATAAATGTCCATGAAATCTTCACAATTTATATTCAGAGATTGCAGTAAAGACAGGCATAAGAAATTATAAAAGTACTAATTTGGGGAACTAATAAATGTCCATGATTTATGTTCTTCTGCCATGGCTTCAGCCAGTCCCTCCGTTCGGGGTCCCTGACTTCCCACAACAGTAGTGGGGGATAAGGAACAGAAAATAAAATAAGTAAGACACAATACATAGTATATTTAAAAGTGTTAAGTGCCCATATGCAATGGTGTCTAGAATTGAAGAAGGTTGTGTGTGATCAGTAGAAAGCAAAGGATTAACCAAAATTAAGCACCTTGGAACAGAATAAAAGCACATTTTTTTTTTTGTCTGTCCACCTGCCATTTAGCATTTGGCTGTTCTAACTTCTGCATTCCTAATAATGTACACACTTTCATCATACATCCTTCACATCAGCTGCTGTGACCAGGGACTGTGGCAAAAGTTACAGTTATCAGACAGCCGTCTGTTGATTGCCTGACACTGTGACATCTAGAACACCCTGTCCAAGGCCAATGAAGTTCCTGCTTGACACTGGCAGTCACTGTGGACTGCAAGCTGCTTTTATTTTCCCTTAGCTAGCATTTTCTTTTTTTCTTTTTATATTTGAAAATTCTGAATGTAATGATTTTTACTAAATTGCTCTCTGTTACCACTTGAATGTCTTTTTTAGAGAAAGGCTCTTGCTATGTTGCTCAAGCTGGCCTCCAATACTGGTCTCAAGTGATCATCACTTCTCAGCCCCCTGAGTAGCTGGGATTACAGGCATGCACCACTGTACCTGGCTTGAATTTTTTTTAGTTAAAAATTTCTCAGAATTTTTTTCAACTGGTGTATGTCAAAGTTTAAAACAAACTCCCCATTTTGCACGTCCATTTTCTAGGTTAATCTCATTAGTAGGTCTAGATAAGGCATATTTGTGTCAAAGAAAGGAAGTCATCATGCTCTAGTATCTTAAGAAAATTACATTTTCTGAAAGCAAGTTGGCTTCATCTAATCGCTCTCAGACACTTTTTTCCCTAGACAACCAAACACAAATTGGCCAATCCCTTGAAAAAAAAATAATTCAAGCATTAGAGAAGGAGGTTAGAGTTTAAGTAAAATAAAACAATCTGAAAAACATTTAATCACCCAAGTTACCAGTCATCTGAATAGACAGGAAATATGTGAACATGTCCTTTAGACCCAAGTAGTAGAACCAAAGGCCAATATTTAGAAATACATAATTTCTTGGTAAAAGTCAAAGCTCAGATTCCAGCCTAAATTACAGTGCATATGTAGTGATTGGTTACAGAGTTGATGGGGTGGGGAGAAAGCCACAGAAGTGTTAATAGAGACCCACAACTGCATTGGAAGGAACGTTGTACCACAAAGAGTGAGAAGAAAAGACAAGAGATAAAGTTGTGATGCTTGGCTGTGGATTTCCCTGTGTTGAGTTTTGAGATGCCTGCTGGCTGAGTCAGAGTAAAGAGAGACAGCTAGCAATGTGGTGCGGGGTGAGGTGACCATACAAGCAGAGGCAAACAAGGAGAAAAAAGGATAGGTTCTAGAACAGATGTCAGCTGCTGGAACAGCCCTTGCGATCCAACCGGGTCATGATAACCTCATCATTAACCTGTAGTTCAGTGTGGAGGGAAAAGGAGTGCTTTGGTCTTTGTTAAAGTTGCCTTCTTACTTTCTCTCTTCTTTCCTTCCTGTGCTCATATGAGCTTTCTAAGAGGGCTTGTGTCACTGCACCTTAGCACTTCTACTAATACTGATAAATTATAGTAGTGATAGTAGCAGTAATAACATTAAAAGAAGATACTTATATCGTGCCTTCTATTTTCCAGTCACTGGTCTAATTAAATGTATTAACTCACCTCATCCTCGCAGCAACACCATGAAGCTGGTACAAATCGTATCCCCCTTTTTCAGAGGATACCCAATCCTCTGAGCCACAGAGGATTGGGTGACTCATTCAAGGTGGCACAACAAGATTCACAATTAGATTGGAGAACTTCAGATCATAGGAATAGCTAACCTCTACTTTCCTGGCTATTCACGATCCACTCATGAGAAGGACCTGGAGACAAACTACAGAACTGGGATGACCTCCAGAGGGTTGTCTTGTCATACTCCGACCTTACTCACTGTAACACTACTTTAGGTCTCTAGGGTCAGATGGTGACATCAGGGTGGGAACTACCAATCCCTGGAGAGGTATTTCATTAGGGAATATTGAAAAGCAGAGTTGATGGGGGCTACCAAGGACAAAAAGAAAACCAGGACTACTGGGACAGCAAAGCAATGCCACTAAAGAAACTGTTGAATGTCCTAGAGAAATACTGAGATTTAATATTCATGGAAAGATTGTATAATTGTAAGTGCCAAATCAGGACACATGGTTTGACACAATGTCCAAAAATTAAGCAGAACATTTAGAATTTGGACTATCGCAAAAATTAAACGAGGAAAGGTTGCTAAAATAATGTATCTGAGACAGGTATGGCGGGTGGCTCACACTTGTAATCTCAGCACTTTTGGAGGCTGTAGTGGGAAGATTTATTGAGTCCCAAAGTTCAAGACCAGCCTGGGCAACATAGAAATACCCCGTCTCTACAAAATAAAAGTAAAATATTAGCCAGGCATGGTGGTGCTTGCCTGTAGTCCCAGCCACTGAGGAGGCTGAGGTGGGAGGATCACTCGAGCCCAGGAGTTTGAGGCTGCAGTGAGCTGTGATCATACCATTGCACTATAGCCTGGGTAAGAGAGGGAGATCTCATCTTCAAAAAAAAGAAAAAAGAAAGAATGTATCTGCAGTGTGTCAGTGTGTGTGTATATGTGTGTTGTGTTGGGGATGGGTGGTGGCATGGAATCCATTTAATTCACTGACCTAGATACTGAGACTGTTTTCAATTAGCTTGTTGTTAGATGGCATTTAGCTGAAGAACAAGGAATCCCCGTAAAGGGACATGTATGTACATATGTGCATATAGAATCTTAGATTCCAAAGATATATTCAGCTACCAGAACAAACTAACGAACAACACTTATTTAGACTTAAACAAGTCTAAACAAGTCTATCCAGATAAATAGACTAGCCCTGGTGATTACCCAGAGCTCTTTCCTTTGATATCATTCACTAGTGACATCACACCACCCGTCATCCATCCCTGCTGCATCTGTGCAAATGCGTGGAGAAAACAAAAATCAAAAACCAAAAAACTGGCTTCATATTCATGGCACACATCTCCCTGGCTTTTGAAATCTTCTGAGGGTTCTTTAAATTATTAGGACAACAATCCCAAGTGCCCTCCCTTCCCTACAACTGCCTGAAGCTTCAGCTAGTTGCTTTCTGGATAGCTCTGTCTTCCCATAATATGAGACACTTCAAAGGAGATGTCCCCTTCTGACAGGGAGAAGAGCCAGGGGGAAATCCCCTTCAGAACATCTCCCATAAATGCTTCCGTTTCCTGTAACACAAGCAGGAGGCCGCAAAAATGAACTCTCTATGAGACACTGTGGTGGCATTTGTCACAATTATAATCATTCATTGTGATTTTCTGTTTTGCCTGCATGGGAGTCTGCATTAGTCAGCACTTTACAGAGTATAAGACACACAATAGGCATTCTCTAAAATTTTGTTGAAAGGGATGAATGAATTTACTGCTTCTGACAAGAAAAAGAAACTTTAAGCTCAAATGAAACACACACACACACTCAAAAACACACTGAAAAACCAAAATATGTTTCTTTACTTTATTGATTACAAAGAAAGTCAAATTACTAAACACAGTAACTTTCACAATTATGACAATATTTCTTTCTGCAGTCTCTTCCCCCTTCAGTCCCCTTAAAAAAAATCTGAATGACAGCTCTTTTATTATTTTTTTATTGTCAATAAAATACTTCTTCCAGGAAATCTGCAGTATGACTCTTATTCACTAGGAATAAGAAACATTCAATGGGCACTTACCAATGATAGACCAATCCCCACAAAAAGGGCATTGTTGTCTAGCTCAACAGATGAGAAACTGGGTCTAAAAGAGCAATAACAACTTGCTCCCTCTCACCCAGATATTAAGTGGCAAAGTTGTGATTTATACCTCAAGGTCTTGTTTTCACCACTAAAAGTTACTTCCTCACTAGTTTCATAACCTTGCCTTTTTTAATGTCAGAACAAAACTGAGCAAGTATACTTAGGGAACTGGGAAGGGGAGGAGTGAGGGAGTCTAGGAGTTATCAGGAGCAAGAACAGCATTCTGGGAGGAAGTCAGCCTTGCTAAGAAATGAAGAGTGCAGTGAGACCTCATGAGCTAGAGGCAATGGACCATTTATAGGAGTGCCAATGAGTCATTTTAGAAAGAGTGAATTTTAAAACCTTGCCATAAGGATAATGATATTGAGATCATCTGCTCCAGCAGAGCAAGAAAAAGATGACAATATCACAAAGCAGCAGAGAGCCCCAAATTTAGTGGATGGTAATGTGGACATGATTGGAAGGGTATTGAGGCTGATTGTTGGCTATAGGACCTAGAAGCACAAGAATTAATGTCTGGAACCTGAAAAGCTCCTTCAGAAAGGGTAAGGCATTTCAGAAAACTTCTTCATAAGGCAGAAGAAGTTACTAACACAATTGCAAAGGTGCTGGATATACAAACTTCAGTGCTTCTTAGAAACCACAGCTTGTGGGGTGGTGGGGTCTCCTGAGGGCAGGAATGTCTGACTCGGTGAATTTGGCCCAACTGCCACTGACATGGACGAGGCTGGACCTAGGCCTACTAAAATTTTAGGGGTGCCAAATATCTGTCTCCAAAATCTATTCCTCAGAGCCTGGCACAGTATCAGGAAGTCTCACTATTCAAATTGCTGTGGGTTTAGATACAGTATGCAGAAAACATCTGTTGCTTTGCAAATTCCCAAGAGTAGAAACACTAAATTGTTTCTGGAGCAAGATGTCAGTTCCTAAGCAGAAAGTAAGTTGCTGTAGTGATTGGGCAAGACGATTTTTGAAAGAAGACAGAAAATGTCCAACGTCCAGAACACACAACTGTGCCCAAGATGATAGGAAACAGAAGAGAGACTGTGGGGTGAGAGATGGCATAATGGAAATAATTTATTCAATCAACAAACAATACTGAATGTCTCTATACTAAGCACTCCTCGAGGCACTGGACAAATATGAACAAAACAGGCAAAAATGCTGGCCCTCATTAGCATGTAACCAATGATAAATATAGATAGACCTTTCTTTCTTGGCCCTTTCTCTTTGGCTGAACCAACAATTGTGGGCTTGATGTCCTTAACAGAGAGCAATGAAAATAGCAAAGTCATAATTAAATTTGATCCTACTTATGCCAACATGTTCTTTGTCTCACCAATGAAGAAACCAAGGTTAAAGGCCTAGTGAAGATTACACAGCTAGCGAGGGCTGAGCTGAAATTGCATTTCAGGACTTGGGGACTGGAGAGGCAAGCCCCAGGTAGAGCATGGACATTGTGGTCAGTAGAACTAGATCTAGGCCAGGTGCGGTGGCTCACGCCTATAATCCCAGCACTTTGGGAGGCTGAGGCGGGTGGATTACGAGGTCAGGAGATCAAGACCGTCCTGGCTAACATGGTGAAACCCCATCTCTACTAAAAATACAAAAAATTAGCTGGGTGTGGTTACAGGTGCCTGTAGTCCCAGCTACTCAGGAGGCTGAGGCAGGAGAATGGCCTGAACCCGGGAGGCGAAGCTTGCAATTAGCCGAGATCATGCCACTGCACTCCAGCCTGGGCGACAGAGTGAGACTCCATCTAAAAAAAAAAAAAAAAAAAAAAAATTAGATCTGAATTCTGGCTCTACTAGTCAGGTGACCTTGAGCAAACTTACGACTGTCTATCTCACTCAGTGCTGGGATGATAAAACCTGCCTCAAATGGTTGATAAAAAGCAACATGAAACACAAAAGTGAAACATTTAGAACAATTCCTGGCATAGAGTAGGTGCTCAATAAATGATAGCTATCAATAACAACAAGTTACTTAAGCCCAGGAGTTCAAAGTTATAGTAAGCTATGATCACACCACTGCACTCCAGCCTGGGTGACAGAGCAAGACCCTGTCTTTAAAGAAAAAGAAAAAGAAGAGGAAATAACAAGTAATCCATGTGATCTTCCTTTTCCATTGCCTCATACTTCTTGCCTGGATTGAATGCCCATGTAAGGCAGGACATTCCCCACCTGAGCCATGCTCCTGTAAAATATAGACCTAGGAATAGACACAAAGAAGACCCAGCCGTGAGGTCTTCTCACTCCCATTCCACAGGCACAGGGAGGTACACAGCATCAGCTGGTCTGGTGTGCTATTTTGTAGGCCAGTTTTGAAAGCTTGTCCCTTTGAACACACAGAAGTCAGGAAATGCAAAATTAACATTCCCAGAGTAGCCATAACTCACTTGCAATGCACACTGAGGCATAAATTTCACTGGAACTACAATAACATAAAGCACTGAGCATACGAGAGTGGGAAAAGTTAAGACTGTTGCTGAAATCATAAATTTAAATTTCTTGACTTGGGTGCATTTTCATCGTCACCCATGATACTGCACTCTAACATAGCATTCACACTAGAAATTGCAACATAATTCAGAGGCCCTTGTGCATGTGACTGAGGTAGTTTTCTCTATAGGGACCCCTTTTCAAACATTCATAAGGATTTCAAGAAAATAACCCTCAGAAGAAATATTAGTCTTCTGGGGAATGCAGCTAAATCCACCCAGCATGAAAGGATATACCTACATTTATTTTCCAGCAAGCTCTGGAAGCAAGCAACCTCTTTCAAGTGCTACATCTCTGAGAGAAGGTGGTTTACCCACTCTCTGCCATTACTGAGTCTTCCTCATGGACTCTGAGGAAACTGTAGTGATATACAGTAGTCCTGTCTTTTCAACTGGGATGGAAAATGTCAGATATATGGAGGTCAAATAAGTCAGTGCATGCAAGTTGATTTCTACTGAGAATGCACAGTAGAAATCGTTCCAACATTCCTGCAAAATGTAGAAGTCAGGGTGTGAAATATGCCACTGGTACTCCAGGTTTACAAACTCTGGCGGAGACTTGCAGGGTGGAGAAAACTGGTAGGAGGTATCACAGAGCAGGAAGCAAGTTGCCATCATAGTTCCAAGCTCTCCTGCCTGGGCCTGGGTGCCTTGTTTTAAAAGGATGGCATAATGACAGTAGTACATTATCTTCATAGAGGAAGGAGACCACAGGATCTCTTATGATTCTATCCACTGTGAACAAATATGCTTTGCTCATAAGGTCTAACCTCAACCTCGTTTTTGCACAGATTATATTCTGAAACTAGCCTTTCCCCTAAAGTCTCATGATTCTTTTTCTTGAGACATTATTTCTCTGAGAGAGGACAGATGCATCCTGTACAGGTAGGCTGTTTATTTCTCCATAGGAAAAAGAGTCTTTCCAAGGACTATTAGTAACCAAGACAGTAAACAAGGTACATTAAGTGCCTGATCCCTAGTAGAGGCTCAACAAATGTCAATTTCATTTCAGATACCTGTGCCAGATAATTAGTGCCCTTTCTTCTGAGTGAAGTGTCCCTTTTTCCCCCACTTCTTTATTCTCCTGTTCCCATTTAGAGATGGACAGAGAGCTGAGTGTGGTGGTTCATGCCTGTAATCCCAGCACTTTGGGAGGCCAAGGCAGGACAACTGCTTGAGCCCAGGAGTTCAAGACCAGCCTGGGCAACATGGTAAAACCCTGTCTCTACAAAATAAAACTAAAAATAAAATGAAAAAAATAAAAAATAAAAAAAATAAATAGTGTGTTCTTGTAGTCTCAGCTACTCAGGAGGCTGAAGTAGGAGGATTGCTTGAGCCTGGGGTGACCTGTGATCACACCATACTCTAGCCTGGGTGGCAGAGTGAGACCTTGTCTCAAAAAACAAACAAACAAACAAACAACAATGACAAACAACAGATAGGCAGAGGATTGACACACAGTTCCTTGGGCTTCCTAAGCTAATCCTTAGAGGATTTTCTGAACCAAACTCTGTAAGAGACACCTTAGATCCTTTTGGACACTTTCACTTTCATTTCAGAAACCAGAAAACAAAATCCAGTCAAAAGATTCTTTTAATATTCCTTGCTCTGTAGTTTTCATATTCCCTTCCATGGTTGTCTTTTACAGGCCTGTACTGCTTGTGTAATAAAAAGATGTGGCAACTGAATGCTGGTCTTTAATCCAAGTTGCACCCGTCTGAGCACTGGGGCTGCTAAAACCGTCACAAAGTGAAGGAGAGTTCAATCTCTGCTATCTCAGCCATCATGCATCCTGTTCATGACCAAGCTCTGCAATCCTTCCTTGCCAGTGTTTCTCAGGTCTGCCCCTTCCTCTGGATTTCCACTGCTGTGGCCAGAGACCAAGCATAAGAGACTTACATTTTCCTTTTCCCAGTCTTTTCTGCATGAAATATTGTGATGCAAAATGCTATTCTTGAAACTTTTCAGGGGGTCATGATACAACTCACACAGAATCTAGAAGAGGCTCTTCATATCCTCTCAAGTCAAATCCTGACTTCTAATCAAGTTCTGTGGGGCTCTTCATTGGAAAGAATTCTTGAAATTAGAGGCAAGAAGGTCGAGAGAGACGTAATAGTCATCCTCAAACATGTAGGTACTTCTGTGAAGGATGTGTTTTTACTCAGGAGACAGAATAAGATGAAAGAAGTTTAACTATAAAAATACCATTCATTGGAATAAAATAACAAGTGTAATGACTTGCAAATCTAGCTTATGTTCGACCATCTGTACAAGGGTTTCCTTCAACCTTCAGCTCTCTCCACTAAAACTTTCCTTCTTCTGACCTCACAGCTTTTTCTGCACCATTTATTTTAAATTGGTCTGCCACTTGGCTTCCTGACAGCTCTTGTGTTGTTGCTTTGCATATCATTTACCTTGTTTGAGATGTATGTCTCACCTCTTCGAGGCATGTTCTGAGTTTTGTCATGTGAAACCTTTCCAAAGCATTCAAACTGCTGTTCACTCTCACCATTAAATTTCCTTTCATTGAATTCTGTCACTGTATTTTTACACAGTTGTCCTTATGGTTCTCTCGTTGTTTCTTCTCATTCCTCTACCTGCACTTTAAGTTAGTGCACCTCAAGTGCCCTTTTGTTGGTCAATGTTTTTTTTTGTCTGACTACATGTAAGGAAAGTTTAAATTTTATGGTTATGGGATCTTTAGAACACTGGGAACTATTAATTAGAGATCATCTCCCTGGAGAATTGCACATACAAATAAAATGTGGCTTCCCTGTAGCTGATTAAAGATACCCTAGGATGAAATATATCCTGGGAAGTGAACATCTGATCTACACACACTCTCTAGTTGTATCATTTAAACTATAGGCCGATTCCCAAATGTATATATTTCTTCCACATCTTTCCCTTATGTTTCAAACACTCAAATCAATTGATCTGCTGAAATATGATGCCTCTGTCTCTAGCTTGTAAAATATTTTCCTTAGATTAACTTAAGAGTATTTATTGCATCTTCCATGTTTTGGGACTATTTCTACACCTTAGGCCACAGAGAATTATTCTAATCTATGACATCATAGCCCTTCCCATGTATGAAGACAACTATGATAAACCCAGCTGCTTCAATCTCTTTTTAAAAAGTGTATCCAAAACCCTTACCTTTCTCTCTGTCTCTCTTTTTTAAATTTAGAACCAGAGTCCACCCTGGCTGGAGTGCAGTAGTGTGATCATAGCTCATGGCAGCCTTGAACTCCTGAGCTCAAGCAATCCTCCTGCCTCAGCCTCCCAAGTAACTGTGACTACAGGCACATGCCACCATGCCTGGCTAATTTTTTATTTATTTTGTAGAGGCAGTGTCTCACTTTGTTGCCCAGGCTGGTCTTGAAAATCTGGACTCAAGCAATCCTCATACCTCAGCCTTCCAAAGTGCTAAGATTACAGGCATAAGCCACCATTGCTGGCTCCACCTTTCTTTAGGTGAGTAATGATTTGTCAATGTCCTTCTTAAAATTGGGACCTGTAGTTGATCACGATATTCCAGGTAGGTTTTGACAGTGCAAACTACAGTGTGACTTTATCCTCTCTTGCGATAGATGCATAATGGCTAAACTTACTCAGTTTTTCCCCACTTATGATTCATATTGAAATATCAACTAGAACTCCAAAATTTTTACAATTATTGCTATTAAAGCGCTTTTCTCAGACCTTGTAGTTCTATAGTATGGTTCTTTTAAAAGAATCAAAATTCATCGTGGTGGTTTCAACCTAGTCTTCCAAAAATCAAAGTCATTTTCCATTTTTGTTCAGTCATCACTAGTTTGTGCAAAGCCCTGTGACACACTGTTAGACAGACTTTCCATTTTGATCCTGATTCGTTAGTATCTTGCTATGAACTCATCTAACTAAACTATAGTTAAAACCAATTTGTCAATAGATGTATAATAAAAGAGGTTTTTAAATATGCTAGACAAAACAGATGTAATGTAGACAAAGAGTAATTTGGTTTATCAGTCAAGAAATTTTCTCGAAAAAAAGTAAATGGTCCAACTTGTTCACAGTGAGATTATTCTGGTTCCTAGTATGGCTGCATCATAAAAAATCCAAAAATTGATTAACCATTTCTAGAATTTAACAGACATCTCTAACATTACCACAAAAGAATAGATTTCAGAAACTACCTTCTCAACACTTTTGAAAATTCTGAAAATGTTTGTTCATCATTTGATTTGTTGGTACCATTCCTGCTGTTCTCTACAAATTCTCAAAAACGAACGTCAGTGGTTTTAAAAATTGTATCTCCAAACACTGGGAGAGGCTGGGTGAAATTTGCACAGAGCCTCCCTGTATATTTCTTTGTACTTTCCTATTACTAAAATTATTTTTAATTTTTTAACTTTCGTTTTAGGTTGAGGGGATACGTGTGCAGGTTTGTTACATGGGTAAACTGTGAGTCACTGTGGAATGGTGTACAAACTATTTCATTACCCAGGTAATGAGCATAGCACATGATAGCTGGTTTTTTGACTCACCCTCTTCCTACCCTCCACCCTCAAGTAGGCACTGGTGTCTATTTTCCTTTTAGTGTTCATATATTAAATGTTTAGCTCTCACAAGTGAGAAGATGTGGTATTTGGTTTTCTGTTCCTGTGTTAATTTGCTTAGGATAATGGCCTCCAGCTTCATCTGTGTTGCTGCAAAGGACATGATTTTGTTCTTTTTTGTGGCTACATAGTATTCCATGGTATATATGTACCACATTTTCTTCATCCAGTACACCATTGATGGGCATCTAGGTTGATTCCATTACCATTGTGAATAGTGCTACAATGAACATATGTGTGGATGTGCCTTTTTGGTAGAACAATTTCTATTCATTTGATATATACCCAGTGATGAGATTGCTGGATCTATTTTAAGTTCTTTGAGAAATCTCCAAACTGTTTCCCACAGTGGCTGAACTAATTTACATTCCCCAAAGCCGTGTATAAGCACTCCTTTTTCTCTGCAACCTTGCCAACATCTGTTATTTTTTGACTTTTTAATAATAACCATTCTGACTGGTGTGAGATGGTGTCTTATTGTAGTATTGATTCACATTTCTCTGATGATTAGTGATGTGGAGCATTTTTTCATATGTTTGTTGGCCACTTGTATGCCTTCTTTTGAGACGTGTCTGCCCATTTTGTATTAGGTTTATTTTTTGTTGATTTGTGTAAGTTCCTTAAAGATTCTGGATACTAGACGTTTGTCAGATGCATGGTTTGTAAATAATTTTCTCCCATTTTGTGGATTGTCTGCTTACTCTGGTATACTTTCTTTTGCTCTGCAGAAGCTGTTGTTTTTGTTTTTTTTTTTTTTAGATGGAGTCTCACCCTTTCGCCCAGGCCAGACTGCAGTGGCACTATCTTGGCTTACTGCAAACTCCACCTCCCGGGTTCATGCCATTCTCCTGCCTCAGCCTCCCAAGTAGCTGGGACTACAGGCACCCTCCACCGTGCCCAGCTAATTTTTTGTATTTTTAGTAGAGACGGGGTTTCACCGTGTTAGCCAGGATGGTCTTGATCTCCCGACCTTGTGATCCAACCGCCTCGGCCTCCCAAAGTGCTGGGATTACAGGCGTCAGCCACCGCGCCTGGCCCAGAGGCTCTTTTTTAGGTCCCACTTGTCTATTTTCGTTTTTGTTGCAATTGCTTTTGGAGACTTCATCATGAAATCTTTACCAAGGCCTACGTCTAAAAGGGTATGTCCTAAGTTTTCTACTGTTTTTCAAGTTTTAAAGTAAAGTCTTTCCTTCATCTTGAGTTGATTTTTGTGTATGCTGAAAGGAAGGGGTTCAATTTTAATCTTCTGCGTATGGCTAGCCAGATATCCCACCTCCATTTATTGAATAGCGAATCCTTTTTCCATTGTTTGTTATTGTTGACTTTGTTGAAGATCAGATGGTTATAGGCATGCAGCTTTATTTCTGGGTTCTCTAACCTGTTCCATTGGCCTATGTGTCGGTTTTTGTACCAGTACCATGCTGTTTTGCTTATTGTACCTTTGCAGTATAATTTGAAATTGGATCATGTGATGCCTCCAACTTTATTCTTTTTGCTTAGGATTGCTTTGGCTATTTAGGCTTCTCTTTTGGTTCCATATGAATTTTAGAATATTTTTTTCTAATTCTGTGAAAAGTGACATTGGTAGCTCGACAGAAGTAGCACTGAATCTGTAAATTGCTTTAGGGAGTACGGCCATTTTACCAATATTAATTCTTCCAATCCATGAGCATGGAATGTTTTTCTATTTGTTTCCGTCATCTCTGATTTATTTTGGCAGTGTTTTAAAATTCTTGTTGTAGAGAACTTTTACCTCCTTGGTTATATGTATTTCCAGATATTTTACTGTTTTTGTGGCTATTGTGAATGGGATTGAATTCTTGATTTGGCATTCAGCTTGGACATTATTGGTGTATAGAAATGCTGATGTTTGTACATTGATTTTGTATCCTGAAATTTTACTGAACTTGTTTATCAGTTCTAGGAGCCTTTGGGCAGAGTCTTTAAGGTTTTCTAGGGATAGAATCATAGTGTCTGTGAAGAGAGATAGTTTGACTTCCTCTTATTTGGATGCTTTTTCTCTCTTTCTCTTGACTGATTGCTTTGGCTAGGACTTCCAGTATTTTGTTGAATAAGAGTGGTTAGCATGGGCATCCTTGTCTTGCTCCAGTTCTCGGAGGGAATGCTTCCAGCTTTCGCCCATTCAGTATGATGTTGGCTGTGGGTTTGTCATACATGCCTCTTATTTTGAGGTATGTTCCTTCAGTGCCTAGTTTGTTGAGAGTTTTAGATATGAAGGGGTATTGAATTTTACTGTAAGTCTTTTCTGAATCTATTGAAATGATTATGTTGTTTTTGCTTTTAGTTCTGTTTATGTGATGAATCCCATTTATTGATTTGCGTATGTTGAACAAATCTTTTATCCCAGGGATAAAGCCTGCTTGATTGTGGTGCATTAGCTTCTTGATGTGCTGCTGGATTTGATTTGTTAGTGTTTTGTTGAGGAGCATTAAATGTATGTTTATCAGGAATATTGGCCTAAAGTTTTCTTTTATTGTGTCTCTGCCAGGTTTGGTATTAGAATGATGCTGGCCTCATAGAATGAGCTAGGGAGGAATCCTTCCTCCTTGATGTTTTCAAATAATTTCAGCAAAATTGGTACTAGCTCTTCTTTATATGTCTGGTAGAATGCAGCTGTGAATGTGTCTGGTCTAGGGCTTTTTCTGGTTGATAGGTTTGTTACTGATTAAATTTTAAAACTCATTATGGATCTGTTCAGTATTTCAGTTTCTTCCTGGTTCAATAGTGGGAGGTTGTATGTTGGCAGGAATTTATCTATTTCTTCTAGGTTTTCTAATTTGTATGCATAGAGGTGTTCATAATAGTGTCTGAGGGTTTTTTGTATTCTTGTGGGATCAGTGGTGATGTCACCTTTGTTATTTCTGATTGTGTTTATTTGGATTTCTTTTTCTTTATTAATCAGCTAGTGGTCTACTAATTTTATTTATACTTTTAGATGATCAATTTTGGCTTCATTGACCTTTTGTATGAATTTTTGTGTCACAACTTTGTTCAGTTCTAGAGTGATGTTAGGTTAATTTGAGATCTTTCTAACTTCTTGATATAGGTGTTCAGTGCTAACTGTCCTCTTAACACTACTTTAGCTGTGTCCCAGAGGTTGTGATACAATATATCTTCATTTTCATTAGTTTCAAAGAATTTTTGGATTTCTGCCTTAATTTCATTCTTTACCCAAAAGTCATTCAGGAGCAGGTTGTTTAATTTCCATGTAATCGTATGGTTTGGGAGATTTTCTTCTCATTAATTTCTATTTTTATTGGGTTGCGGTACAAGAGTGTGGTTGGTATGATTTTGGTTTTTTGAATTTGTCAAGAATTGCTTTATGGCTGAGCATGTGGTCAGTCTTAGAGTATGTGCCATGTGCAAATGAGAAGAATGTATATTCTGTTTTTGTTGGGTGAAGTATTCTGTAGATGTCTGTTAGGTTTATTTGGTTAAGTGTCATGTTTAAGTCCCAAATATATTTGTTAGTTTTCTGTCTCAGTGATCTAACACTGTCAGTGGGGTGTTTAAGTCTCCCATCATTATTTTGTGGTTATTTAAGTCTCTTTGTAGGTCTTCAAAACCTTGTTTTATAAATCTGGGTGCTCCAGTGTTAGGTATATATACCTTTAGAATAGTTAAGCTTTATTGTTGAATTGAATTGAACTCCTTATCATTATGTAATACTCTTATTTATCCTTTTTGATCATTGTTGGTTTAAAAATCTATTTTGTCTGAAGAATAGCAACCTGCTTTCTTTTGTTTTCCATTTGCTTGATGTATCTTTCCCTTCCTTTTACTTTGAGCCTATGGTTGTCATTGCACTCGAGATGGGTCTCATGCAGACAGCATCAACAGGCTAACAATTGAGTCTTTCTTCTTTTTTTTTTTTTTTTTTTTTTTTGTTTGACAGAGTCTCCCTCTGTCACCCAGGCTGGAGTGCAGTGGCATGATCTTGGCTCACTGCAACCTCCACCTCCCAGGTTCAAGTGATTCTCATGCCTCAGCCTCCCGAGAAGCTGGGATTACAGACATGTGCCACTAACTTTTGTATTTTTAGTAGAGATGGGGTTTTGCCATAGTGGCCAGGCTGGTCTTGAACTCCTGGACTCTAGTGATCCACCCACCTTGGCATCCCAAAGTGCTGGGATTATAGGCATGAGCCACTGCACTCAGCCGGGTCTTTCTTCTTTATCCAATTTGCCACTTTCTGTCTTTTTAGTGGGGTGTTTAGCCCATTTACATTCAAGGTTAATATTGATATGTGAGAATTTGATCCTGGCATCATGTTGTTAGCTGGTTGTTATGTAGACTTGCATTGTATTGTTTCTTTATAACGTCAGTGGTCTATTTACTTGTGTGTTTTGTGGTGGCGGGTTATCAGTCTTTCATTTTCAGGTTTAGCACTCCCTTCAGGACCTCTTGTAAGGCAGGCCTGGTGGTAATGAATTCCCTTAGTATCTGCTTGTCTGAAAGGATTTTGTTCTCCTTATAAACTTATAAAGCTTAGTTTGGTTGGATATGAAATTCTAGTTTGGAATTTCTTTTTTTAAAGATGAGTCCCCTAGTCTATTCTGGCCTATAAGGCTTCTGCTGAAAGATCCTCTGTTAGCCTAATAGGGTTCCCTTTGCAGAAAACATGCACCATCTCTCTAGCTCCCTTAAAATTTTTAAATTTTGTGTTGACTTTGGAGAATCTGATGACTGTGTGTCTTGATGACTCTATGTCATCTTGTATAGCATCTGGCAGGGGTTCTCTGGGTTTCCTGAATTTGCATGTTGACCTCTCTAGTGAGACTGGGGAAATTTTCATGGACAGTATCCTCAAATATGTTTTCCAAGTTGCTTGCTCTCTCTCCATCTTTGTCAGGAATGTGCCAGTAAATGATAGGTTTGGTTTCGTTACATAATCCCGTATTTCTCAGAGGTTTCACTCATTTTTAAAATCATATTTTAAAATGTTTGTCTGCCTCCATTAATTTGAAGGAATTGCCTTCAAGCTGAGATTTTCCTCAGCTTAATCTATTCGGTTATTAGTGCTTCCAATTAAATTCTGAAATTCCTATAATGCAGTTTTCATTTCCAAAAGTTCAATGTGGTTCTTTCTTAAAATGGCTATGTCATCTTTCAACTCAAACTGATTTCCTGAGATTGGGTTTCAACCTTCCTCTGTATGTCCATGGGCTTTCTTGCCATAGAGATTCCAAATTCTATGTCTGTCATTTCAACCATTTCATCCTGGTTAAGAACCATTGCTGGGGAACTAGTACAGTTGTTTGGAGATAAGACAACACTCTGGCTTTTAGAGTTGCAGGAATTTTTGTGCTGGTTCTTTCTCATCTGTGTGGGCTGATGTTCTTTGAATCTTTGAAGTTGCTGCCTTTCAAATGAAGCCTTTTGCTTTTATATTCTTTGCGCCCTTGAGGGTTTGGTCATGATATAAGTTAGGTTTAGTTGATGGGCTTCATTTCTGAATGCTTTCAGGGGGCCAAAGCTCAGCTCAGTATTCCTAGACTACATGCTCTAATCTTGTAGGGCTGGCACCAGGCCAGCAACTTTGTTCTCTGGTCCCTCCAAGTCAAGCACCTGCTGTGCTAGAGGCATCAAGGTGTTCACAGTCTGCTGGCAACAACACTCTGACAGGAGATGCTGGCAAAAGCACTCTGGTGAGATGGTAGGCGTCCCCAAGTATATGCATGCTGGCAGGGAGGTGGGGTTTGATGCACGTGTGTGCACTAGTGGAGCAGCCAGGGGAGGCTGCAAGCAAGTGTGCTCCGGCAGGGGAAGGCTGCTGGTAGGTGCGGGTGGGGTCTATCTGCCAAAGTGCTCTGTTAGGCAGGGTCTGCTGGCAAGAGAGATATGGCAGTGGTCACTGGCAAGCTGAGGCTGCACTGCAAGCAGATGTGGCCACGCAGGGACCCTGGAAGAGGCTGGAAGACAGGGGGTGCTCAGGTCAGACTGTCCCTATCCCAGGGACAAGACAGCCCTGTTCTGCCCAGGTCAGACAGTCAACAAAGGCTAGAACCACCTAGAAGAATATGGCAAGCCTGGGGAATGGGTGCCCATGGCCGTACTCTCTACTCCAGCCACTCCCATGCCAAACCTTTGGGGCTATGGGCAGGCTGGAGTTCTGTCTCTGCCAACTCTTTGGGCAGTTCCTCCTGCCAGCTCAGATGTTTATGGGGGTCTTGGGGTCTCCTGTGGCTAGGATACCAGAGGTCCATTACAAGAGTGGGCCACTCCACACCTGTTTCACTCACCTTTTCAGTAGGAGTTGCTCAGGGCCAGGAAAGAGTCCTAGCGCTCAGGAATCTTGTGCGAGGTTCCCAGCTTCCCCTCCCCACCCTTCAGCCCACGGTCCATGTCCTCCCACTGTCCACTCTCAATGCCATCCCTCTAAAGATCTGTGCAGAGTGTGCCAGTCTACTGGGCAGTCTTGTCTCTTTTTGAGGGAGAAGCTCTTCCTGGCTGCATCTAGTCAACCATCTTGGCTCCCCCTCTAATTATTTTTAAGTAATTAAAAAAATAAATTCAATCTGCAAAGTTTTCTTTGTAGTTTAGGGCAAATGTATCTAGACCTAAACATTTGCATGTATTTTAGGAGCTAGATGCCTTTTGAAATGATTCACCTATCTTGGGCTTCAGTTTCTCCTTTACAGTGTTTATTTTATCCTTCCGAATTTGGACACAATTTTCTTTATCAGGGAAGATCAAACCCACAGGGAATAGAGTAGCTTATCTCCTGCCATCCATTCTCAATGCCCCACGTCTCCCTTTTCTTGTTTGGTATTCTCTCTTCATCACTAATTCCTGCCCGTCACATATTCCAATGAATTTTCTTTCCCTCTGGGTGACTCTCTTGATTCTGTAGTTACCCATGTCATTCCTTTACATTTGTTCTTGACCACGAGCTATTCCCTTTGCCCTTGATCTGCATTACTTTAGAAATCTCACTTCATCTGATATTCCTTTGGTGCTAAGTACATGGTAGTGTGCTTTTTAGGTGCTGTGAACTGCAACTCCAAGGTTATTTTTATGGAGACAAAAATTGCTTCTCTTTTACTATCATTTTAGTTACTCTTGTGGAATGTGGTCTTTTTCCTCATCTTTTGAGTTTAAATTCTGCTAAAAACTTGCTCTGACTTAAATAGAGGGAAGAGAAGACTTTTACATTGTTTCAGTGGGTTAAGATTGAAGACCTTATGGAATGGTGTTTGCTCCTCTGAAACTCCAAACTGCTTTGTCTAGGCCCTCTTAGAGTCCTCTTTGAATTCAACTTTTTCATGTGGATATACTGGCTTCATTGTGTTCTCTCATTAGGGGCCTGTGACGTCCAGCTGGGACTCTTTCAAATGACTTCTCACTTGGAGTTGGGTGTAACCTGTTAGAAATCCATCAACCTATCCCTTAGTCTCATGTGGAATATTCCAGAGATTTCTTGCTTAGCCAGATTTCTCCAGCTATAATTTCTAGGCAGGAGTTGCCTGCTTTAGGGTGATTTTCTCCCAACACCCCACTGCAATTATTTAGTTCCATCCGTGTCACATATGGGATGCTAAATTCCTTGTAATGTATACTAAAGAGAGGGTTAAAGGTGGGTTCCCTAAAGGCTTTATCCAAACTCCTTAAGGGCTTGATACCAGAAGAGCACAGATTAACACATAGCAAGAAAATACATTCCGTCAAACAGAATCCCATCTGTACCTGCCAAAACGTTCCCCCTGCTTTACTAACATCCTTGTAACAACATTGCGCAAGGGTTCTGACACTTCTTAGATAAGCACTTCATTCAGCTCCCTGTCTCCTTTACAGAAGGAAACAGGCAAATTCCAAATACAGTCAACTCCGTTATCAGGCTCTTCTTATCCAGTATGTGGGGTATCCAGCCCTTTGTTTCTCTTCTGTCTCCTTCCGACTGCCTGCATTTAGGATGTGTTAATTCCACTCTGTACCACCACTTCAGGGCATTTTTGAGGGAAAAAAAAGACATAGACTGCCAAAACTGTTTTTATTTTACTTTTTATTAGCATGCCTAATAAAGACCTGGGTAAGTGAGGTCACTGGAACCAAAGAGAAAAATGAAGCTTCATGGCTCCAAGTACATTTGACTTTGAAACACTTAGCTTCCAAGATGTCCTGATATAGCAATAACAGTTACCCTGAAAGGGCCTTTTTTTTCCCATAGAAATTGCTAGGTATTTCCCTTTCCTTTCTCTGCTGAGCCACTTTCCTTGCTATTTTCTCTGTCATAAAAGATAAATTATGCATAATTAGTTAATAAAGAATCTGTGCCATTGGCGTCTAAAATCCTTGAAAGTGTTGGAAATCTCCGTCAGGACATCCACCAAATTTCCATCTATCACTTACCCTCTTCTAATTAAGGGATAAATGGAGGGGGGAGGGAATAAATGAAAAAAAACATTTATTAAATCTGATCTCCTCTCCCTTGGTTTGTGTGATTAAGTGATTATTCTCTAGTTTTTATGTAGCAGAGGGGATTTGACCTGCATATGGTTTAAATAGACTTTGGAGGGTTATGAAAGCCAGGGAGCCTAACTGTGTCTACCTCTGTTTCTGTAAAGAAAATATGTTTAGGTTTCCAAAGAAATGATTCACAGACAAACTTTGGAACACAATTTGTTTATAATGCAGAACCTACCTAGGTCCCTGGGCTTTTCTTACTGAGGCAGCCCCTTCTAACAGAGAATCTAGGGCTGTAGCAATCCCAGTAGAACTCACTCTGAAATGTTTTAAAGAGAAGTTAGAAATTTATTTAGGCAGCTAGTTTGAGCATGCAGGCTAGGACATTGCTAGATGTTGTATTACTTCCTATGACACCTGGGACTTAGTTACTTTAAGTGCATAAATCAGCCTTCTGAGAAATATTATTCAGTTTCCTGAGCTTAGTTTAAGCTGAATTACAAGTGACCCTGTAGAATTATTTTATTCCCCTTTTGCCTGAATTCCTGTGGAAAGGATTAAAAAACCACGTTGTCTGCTTTTATTGGCCTAGTTCCTCTCACCCCACCCCATTTTAATAACTTCGGCTCCTTAAATCTATATTCTCTACACAGTCTTTTATAGAAATCTGTCAAACATGTAAATGCACGAAGTTAACTAGGCCTTCACTATTTCTACAACAACTGGTGCATAGACAGAAGATGTGATGGCCCTTTGGGTACCAATAATTTTCTGGGGACATAAAAATGAGGATTGCTGCTTTTGCCAGATCTCCCAGTGCTTTATGACATCACCAGGCATTTTGTGACAACATCACTTTAACACACAGGCTTTGGCCCTAGGCTACAAGCAAAAGAACACGTTTATTGATCAAGACAGAGCAGAAAAGACTGGAAGTTGGAAAGAAAACTTCCAACATTGCCTGGAGAAAGTATTCTGAAGAAAAACTGGATTCAGACATTTCTGAAGGGGAACGGAAGAGAGGAGGGCAAGGAGGGTTGAGGGTTAGACAGCACTGAGTTGGAATCACACAATTTATATACACAAAGAGCTCAACATCACTGATCATTAGAGAAATACAAATCAAAACCACAATGAGTTACCAGCTCACGCCAATCAAAATGGCCATTATTAAAAAGTCAATAAATAACAGATGCTGGCAAGGTTGCAGAGAAAAAGAAATGCTTTTACACTGTTGGTGGGAGTATAAATTAGTTCATCCACGGTGGAAGACAAAATAGTGATTCCTCAAAGACCTAAAGGCAGAAATAACATTTGACCCAGCAATCTTATTACTGGGTATGTACCCAAAGGAATGTAAACAATTCTGTTATAAAGACACATGCATACATATGTTCATTGCAGCACTATTCACAGTAGCAAATACATGGAATTGATCCAAATGCTCATCAATAATTGACTGGATAGAGAAAATGTGATACATATACACCAAAGAATAATATGCAGCCATAAAAAGGAAGGAGATCACATTCTTTGCAGGGACACGGATAGTTGGAAGATGCTATCCTCAGCAAACTAACGCAGGAACAGAAAACTGAGCACCGTATGTTCTCACTTATAAGTGGGAACTGAATGATGAGAACATGTGGACACATGGTGGGGAACAACACACACGGGGGCCTTTCAGTGGGGGTGGGGGCAGGGAGAGCATCAGGAAAAATAGTTAATGGATGCTTGGCTTAGTACCTAGGTGATCTGTGGAGCAAACCACCATGGCACCTGTTTACTTATGTAACAAACCTGCACATCCTGCACATGTACCCTGGGACTTAAAATGAAAGTTGAAGAAAAAATAAATAAAATAAAAATAGAAATAAAAACCATTTTTAAAGCAAAAAAAAAAAAATTCTAATCCAACACCTGGGCTTTGTGATGGTGTGTGTTTCATTCCATTTTAAATTGTGTGATAAACATGAAAGCTCCTGACGCTTTGCTAATCCAGATTCTAAACGAAGCAATAAAGGAGAGGTTCTAGTAGTAAAATGTAAACAGGCAAAACTGAGTGGAAAATAGTTCTTCATTCTGCACTCTCCCCTTCAACACTAGTCCTAGATTCACTGGCCCTGGAGTTAGAAACAGCAATGATTTCAGTATGGAATATCTGGTCACTAGGGGTACACTGTAGCCCTCATCAAGACAAATGAGATTTTACCTTTTTTTCAAATTAAAGTTGAGAGTCTCTAGAAGAATGTTTGCTAGGGAAAAAAAAAGAATTTAAAATCTACTGTGGACATAAAGCAATTATATATATAGTAGGTTTCCAACATGCATGTATGTTAATATGTAATCATGGAAGAGCGCCTGGGCTATGGGCCCTTTTCCACAATCCAGACAGGGCTGAGACGATTGTTAGACCAGGTTTCCACCGCCCCCTCCTTTTTTTTTTTCCCAAAAGGCCAGTTACATTTAGTGTTGTATACTGATTCCATGAAAATATATATTTCTCTCTCTGCATTTTTGCCATGGTTCTAGATTTTGCTACTAGATTACCCTTGGAGCTGCTGCCACAGAGAGAAAACTGGGCGGTGCAGACGAGTCACTTAACTACTAGGGTATTTCTTAGATTTTACATATAAAAAAGAATGAAACCCCAAATTGTCTGAGTGAGACTCAGATTTCTTCCATATCTGAGTCTATAACTGTAAGTAGATAACACAAAGATATGTATAAAAAAGAGCAAAAACACAATTAACAACACCTGCATGCCCAACCAACACTCATTCACACATGCTTCTTAGACCCACTTTACTGAGAGGACCCAACAATTTCTTCAGTTCTTGGGTCTCAGAGAAGTCTGTTCATATTCTCTGCATCCAAATGGCAAATATGGAGGTCCTATTTCCTCTTGGCTGTGCACAAATCCTCCTCTTCCTGAGTCATCACAAAGACAGCCAGGGTTCTTGTTGGAAAATAAGTGGACAGCAAGAAAAAAATACAGATCCTTTTCAGCCAGTTCTATGAGAATTTGCTGTCCCATTGGTTTTTCTCTCCTGAAATGAAAATGTACCAGAAAGAGAAAAACAGATAAATAAAGTAAAATGATGACAACGTCTCTCATCTTGGTAGACTATCTTCAGGGAATAATGAAATTCACACTAGAGAATTTTATGATTCACAATTTCCATTTGGTATATCTTTGCACTCCTTGGAGCAACTAGTTTAGGGTTTGTTTGGAGTCTGATTTTTTTTTTCTTTTTAGAGGGAGGTGGGCAGCCTGGTCTAACAGCAACATTATAAAACCCTGGAAAATACATAAAGTCTGAGAACTGTAACAATCAGAGATGGAGGAGACCCATTATGTCATCTGTCAGACCCAGGGGAAGCAGTGGAAGATTCTTTCTTAGAATAGATTTTCTACTTCCTTATCCCGTTGACTTTCAAATGGCTCTAGGGATGGGGTTTCCACCACTTCCTTTACTACATATTTCCCCAATCTCATAATTCTTGCTGTCAAAATTTTTCAGGGTGTTTAGTCCAAATGTTCCTTTTTTTCTGAAAATGGCAACTGCTTTTCCTTACTCAAAGTTGTGTCCTACCTGTCAGAATGAACATTCTATCTTTTTGAAGCTGTATAACCACTTTCCATTTTGTCACCAGAACTCTTCTCTGATTCTCTCCCTCTAGAAGTCATTGTAGCAGCAAGTAGGCAGGGAACATATAAGGAAATCTTGGCAATTAGGCAAATATATTTTTAGATGGTTGGGCTGTGATATCTCAGCATTCCAACAATAGAATTCCCCCCAACTTCATGGCTCAGAGGGTTCACCTGATATCTCATCTCGGTGCCACAAATTGAATGTGCACTTGACACTGAAGCCCCTAGAATTGTGCAGTGCACAAACTCAACCAACCTAGATAGTCCTATAAAAATTATTTTAAAAACCCTTCCCTTTTATTAAAGCTTCATTCATGTCTATCTTGCATGTAAATGTACACTGATGTATATATGTGCCTGTCATGTTGAAATTATAATTATACAATTCTTAGGGGTATTTTCCTTCTAAGGGTCTTAATAGAGTACGGAAGCCAGAGTGGCCAAAAAGGGCTGTGTTCTTCAAATACTGTAGATGTGTGTTCTGATCACTAATTGCTGCTTCTGATTACAGAAGCACAGACAGAGTCTGTGGCCATTCTTGTCATACCTCCCCCATTGTTGCAAGCCCCTCACCTTCTGACTAAAGTGACTTCCAGAAGATTTGAAGGGATGTTGCCTTCTCCTCGCTTTTACTTTTCTCTTTTTTTCCCCTTTTGAGCCAGTCATGGAGGACTAGGGCATTCAAAAGCAACCGCATATATAGGAAAATTAGAAAGTCAGTGTGTATGCACAGAGGAAAACATAGGCTCAGAAAATATCTGAGAAGGTCTTAATTTTATGCCTTAGACCAGTATTTGGCACAGAAACAGCCTGCAACAATAATAATTTAGAAAAAACAGCAAACATTAAGAAAAAGAATGTCCGAATTTCAGAGTTAGCACATTATTAGATTCAAATGGCCACCTCGACAGAAAAGAAATAACAAGGCATATGAAGAAATAAGAAAATATATTTCATTCAAAAGAAAAAAATAAATAGAAATTTCCCAAAAGAAGACCTGAAGACAGATCTACTAGACAAAACTTCAAAACAACTATCTTAAAGATTCTCAAAAAACTAAAGGAAGACATGTATAAAGTCAATAAAATAACATATGAACAAAATAGAAATACCAATAAAGAGATGGAAACCTAAAAAGAATCCAAAAATAAATTCTGGATCTGAAAAGCATAAAAACTGAAATAAAAAATTTACTAGAGGAATTCAAAGCTAGATTTGAGCAAAAAGAAGAATCAGCAAACTTGAAGATAGGACAATTAAAATTATCAAGTATGAGGAACAGAAAAAAAAAAGATTGAAGAAAAGTCAACAGAGCCTAAGACACCTATGAAACACCATCAAGTGGACCAACATATGCATTGTGGTGAGTCCCAGAAGGATAGCAGAGTGAAAAAGGGAAAAAGAGATTATTTGAAGAAATAATGACTAAAAGTTTCCCAAATTTGATGAGAGACGTAAACATCTGAGGAGCTCAACAAACTCAATTTAAGCACATTATTATCAAACTGCAAACCCCAAAGACAGAGAATCTTAAAAGCAGCAAGAGAGAAGCCATTCATTATATACAAGGGCTCTACAACAGGATTATCTGCAGATTTCTCATTGGAAACTTTGGAGGGCAGAAAGCAGTGGTTGATACAGTGCAAAAGAAAAGGAAATTTCAACCAAGAATCTTATATCTGGCAAAACTGTTCTTAAAAAGTGAGGGAGAAATTAAGACACTCTCAGATAAACAAAAGCTGAGGGAGTTTGTTACCACTAGGCTTTCTCTGTAGGAAGTGCTGATGGGAGTTCTGCAGGTCAAAACAAAAGGACGTTAGACATTAACTCAGAGCCATAGGAAGTAATAAAGAGCACAGTTAAGATAAATAAATACATGGGCAATTATAAAAGCTAGTATTATTGTAACTTTGGCTTGTAATTCCACATTTTGTTTTTTATATAATTTAAGAGACTAATGGCTTAAAATATTATTAGTTTATTGTTTTGGAAATACAATGTATAAAAATGTAATTTTGTGACATCAACTGAAAGGGATGGGAACAGAGCTGTAAAGGAGTAGTTTTTTATATTATTAAAGTTAAAATGGTATAAATTCAAATTAGAGTGTTATAACTTCAGGATTTTATATTTAATTCCCATGTTAACTACGAAGAAAATACCTATAAAACATACAGAAAAGGAAATGAGAAGGGACTTAAAACATTTCACTACCAAAAATCAACTATAAATACAAAGAATACTATAATGCAATAAATCAGGGACCAAAAAAGATATAAAACAAATAACAAATAACAAAATGACAGAAGTCCCTCCTTACCAGTAATTACTTTAAATGTATATGATTAAACTCCATAATCAAATGATAGAGATTGGCAAAATACATTTTTAGAAAAACATGATCTAACCATGTGCTAGCTACAAGAGACTCACTAGCACCAAAGACACTAATAGATTGAAGTGGAAGGATGAAAAAATACCTCATGTAAACAGTAATCTAAAAAGAGCAGGGGTGGCTATACCAATATCAGACAAAATAGACTTTAAATCAAAAGAGGTTACAAGAGACAAAAAAGATTATACATTCATAAAAGATCTACTATAGCAAGAAGATATAATAATTATAAACATTTACACACCTAATAACAGACCATCAAAATATGTGAAGTAAAAACTGACAAAATTAAAGGAAGAAACAGATAGTTCCAATAATTGGAGACATTAATTCGCCACTCTCAATAACAAGCAGAATAACTAGACAGAAGATGCATTAGAAATTAGAGGAATTAACACAATAAACCAACTATATCTAACAGACATATTCAGAATACTGTACTCAACAACATACACATTTTTCTCAAGTGCACATAGGACATTTTCAAGGATAGACCATATGTCTATATCCCAATAGATTTTAAAATAGATACCATACAAAGTATCTTCTCTGACCACAACAGGATAAAGTTAGAAATCAGTAACAGTAGGAAAACTGAAAAATTCACAAATTTTTGGAAATTAAACAATACTCTCTTAAACAAGCAATATATCAAAGAAGAAACCACAAGGGAAATTGGAAACTACTTAGAGATCAATGAAAACAAAACAGAACATAATTATGGGACACACCAATACTTATGAGACACAGCAAAAGCAGTGCTAAAGACACAATTTATAGCTGTAAATATATTAAAAATCAAGAAGGATCTCAAAACAACAAAGTAACTTTACAACTTAAGGAACTAGGAAAAAAAACTAAACTCAAAGGTAGCAGAAGGAAATAATACAGTTTAGCATGGAAGTAAGTGAAATGGAGGATGGAAAAGTAATAGACAAAATCAATGAAACCAAAGCTTGATTATTTGAATGATCAACAGAATTCACATTGAAAAGAAAACTACAGATCATGAACATTAATGCAATGCTTATTGCAATAGTGTGAACACTGATGCAAAACTCCTCAGCAAAATACTAGCAAATCAAATTCAGCAGTATATTAAGAGGATTGTACACAATGACTAGCTGGGACTTATTCCCAGAATCCAAGAATGTGTTCAACATAGGAAAGTTGATCAACATAATACACCACATTAACAAAATGAAGAAAAAACGTGCATGATTATTTCAATTGACACAGAAAAGTCACTTTTCAAAATCAACACTCCACAAACTATAAATAGTTTCACGATTAAAAAAAAACACTAAACAAACTAGGAATAGAAGGAAATAACCTCAATAAAATAAAAGCCATATATGAAAACCCCACAGCAAATCTCATACTAAATGGTGAAAGACTGAAAACTCTTCCTTTAACGTCAGGAAGACAAGGATGGCCACTTTGACCACTTCTAGTGCATATAATACAATAAATTCTAGCCAGGTCAATTGACAAGAAGTAAATGGCATCTAATTTGGAAAAGAAGAAGTAAAATTATCTCTGTTCACAGATGATTTATCTTATACATTGAAAACCTTAAAAATTCCAAAAAAATAGAAATAAATGAATTCAGTGAAGTAGTAGGATACAAAGTCAACACACAAAAATCAGTTGCATTTCTTTATACTAACAATGAACAATTGAAAAATAAGAAAACAATGTTATTTACAATAGCATCAAAAAGAATAAAATACTTAGGCATTAATTTATCCAAGGAGCTGAAAGACTTGTAAATAAAAACCACAAAACATTGGTGAAAGAAATTAAAGAAGACAAACGAAGAGATATTCTCTGTTTATGGGTTGGAAGACAATATTGATAGATGTCAATAATACCCAAAGTGATCTACAGATTCAATGCAATCTATCAAAATCATAATTTTTTCATAAATAGAAAAATCCATCCAAAAATTAACATAAAACCTCAAGAACCCCAAATAGCTAAAACAACTTTTAAAAAGGCCAAAGTTGAAGGAGTCATACTTCCAGATCTCAAAATTTACTATAAAGCTACAGTAATCAAAAAAAGTATGGCACTTGAAGAAATACAGACATATAGACCAAGGAGTTGAACAGAAAATCCCCAAATAAACTTGCACAAATATGGTTAACTTATTTTCAACAAAGAGGCTAACATCATTCAACAGGGAAAAGATAGTCTTTTAAACTAATGGTTCTGGGAAAACTGTACATCCACATGCAAAAGAATGAAATTGGACTCTTACCAAATATTATATGCAAAAATTAAATGAATCAAAGACCTAAATGTAACACCTAAAAGTATAAAACTCAAAAGAAAACCTATGGCAAAGTCTTCATGGCATTGGATTTGACAATGATTTCTTAGAGATGACATGAAAGGCACAGGCAACAAAAGAAAAAATGGACAAATTGCCTTCATGTCAATTTCAAATTTTTGTGCATCAAAAGATACTATCAACAGAGTAAAAAGCCAACCCACAGAATGGGAAAAAAATACATACAATTAAGTATCTGATGAGGGGTAGTATCTAGAACATATAAAGAATTCTGTTTTTGTTCTAAATCTGAAGAACAAAAACCAAACAATGCGATTGAAAAACAGTCAAAGGACTTGAACAGTCATTTTTCCAAATATATGCAAATGGTCCGCAAGCATATGAAAAGATGCCCAACATTGCTAATCATCAGGAAAATCAAATTAAAACTACAGTGAGATATCATCTCACACCCATTAGAATGGCCACTATCAAAAAACTGCAAGCATTAGCAAGGATATGGAGAAACTGGAATCCTTGTGCACTCTTCATGTTAATGTAAAATGGTGCAGCTTCTATGGAAAACAATATGGAGGTTTATTTAAAAATTAAAAGTAAAATTACTACATGATCCAACAATCCCACTTCTGGGTACATATCCAAAATAATTGAAAACAGCATCTCAAAAATATATTTGCACACCCTGTTCATTGCAACATTATTCACAAGAGGTAGAAGCAACCTAATACCCACTGATGGATGAATGGATAAAGCAAATGTGGTATATACATACAATGGAATATTATCAGTCTTAAAAAGGAAGGAAATTCTGACATATGCTACAATACAGATAAATCTTGAGGACTTCATGGTAAGTGAAATAAGCCAATCACAAAAAAAATATGATTCCATTTATTTGGGGTACATAAGAGTACTCAAATTCAAAGAGACAGATAGTAGAGTGGTGGTTGTCTGGGGTTGCAGGGAGAGGGAATAAAGACTTACTGTTTTATACATACAGAGTTTCATTTTTGCAAGATAAAAAAGGTTCTGGAGATGGAGGGTGGTGATGTTTGCACAATGTATTTCTCGACATCACTGGGTTATAAACTTAAGAACAGTTAAGATGGAAAATTTTATGTTGTCTATACAATAAAAAGTAATTGAAAAGAAAGTTCAAAGTTATGAACCTAGAAGTAAATCACTCCGACAACAAAATCAGAAAAGAACCCAGATATTCTTTCCTAGGCCACTGCTTCTAATCAGTTCTTCTGATGATCCATTTACTATGCATTTGAGAATGTTTTTTCCCTTTCCCTGGATCTACATTTACTATGCATTTGAGAATGTTTTTTCCCTGGATCTATTTTCTAGCTCTAAAACAAAGAAGTTAGCCAGATAAGTGGCAACAAGCTAATATCCAAAGAATGGTATTTCTGTCCATGTGTTTTAAGTCAGTGGATTTTTAAAAATATTAACAACATGGATTTTTAAATTCTAATGACTACCACTTGATTTCCTTTTCACATCGATTTCTATTCCCTCCTCCTAACCCAGTAGTTCCTCTTCCTACTCTGGAGATATGCAGCTCTAGGGTAACTGGCTCCACCAGCTCCCCCTTTTTGTGTTGCTCTTTCATTACTTGCTGCTGAAAGCACCCTTAATCACTGGCGTCATCTGATAGACAAGAAGATCTGTCAGCTCTTGGCCAAAATACCCACATGGAAACATTGGCTGGAACCCATAGGCCCTGCACCCTTTATGCTTAGCCCACTTCACTCATGTGATTGCCTGTCTGCTATCTGTAGGAATTTTGGTTTGTGACTCTAGGGTAAATGATATGGTTTGGCTGTGTTCCCACCCAAATCTCATCTTGAATTGTAGTTCCCATAATCCCCACGTGGCATAGGAAGGACCTGGTGGCAGGTAAATGAATCATGGGGGCATTTCTTCCATGCTATTCTCATGATGGTGAGTAAGTTCTCACAAGATCTGGTGGTTTTATAGGGGCTTCCCCCTTTCCTCAGTTCTCCTTCTTCTCCTTCCTGCCGCCATGTAAAGGACATGTTTGCATCCTCTTCTGCCATGATGGTAAGTTTCCTGAGGCCTCCCCAGCCCTGTGGAACTGTGAGTCAATTAAACCTCTTTCCATTATCATTTACCCAGTCTCAGGCAGTTCTTTATAGCAGCATGAGAACAGACTAATACAGTAAATGATTATGTGTTACATTATTTTATATACTTTATGGATGCATCACATGTGGATGGCAGCCCTGGGTGGGCACATTTTGTTTTAATTGTCTATTCAATGAAGTCAAATAGCAAGTTTTTACTGACATCACCAGGCTGTACTTTAAAATGACCAGACAAGTGGTTTTGGCATTGTATGAATGCTGCCTCGGTAAAGATCTGCTGAACTTCACTTAGAAATATGTGCCAAATCATATGCAAATTTGTATTTTTCATGGGAGCTGAGAGCTTTGGCACTTGATTCTGATGTTTTTTATAACTAAGTGTGTAGCACTGGCCAAGTTCTGCATGTTTAATCCTTTTAATCATTCAATATAAATCATGCTCTCAGCCCCTTAATCATTCTTGTTATTATTCTTTGAAACTCCTCCAGTTTCCTTACATCCTTCATTGCTTAAAGGAGAGTTTTTAGCAGGCCTGTTTCACTTCCAAGAATCTATTTTGTGATCGAAGCAGTGGGGGGTTTAGAAGATTCAGTTTCATGAGAGACTCCAAAGGAAATGTACGACTTAGACCTTGAACGTTTACAGACATTTCATAGGGACTCGATGGACACCTGATCTAAAAAGATAATTTTACATTCTTTTTCTCCTGAGTAATACAGAGAAATATTTGTATTATTATGGCCATTGGTAATACAGTCTATTTTTTTCATTGTGTATTTATTTAGTATTTATCATGTGAATGAGAGGGTTCTTACTCTTCCATGTTGAATCTAGAGAAGGAGAGAAACAGCTAGTAGGAGAAATCCACTCATCACATTTTTCAGGACCAGAGACTTAATTTATTGTCTATCAGCTGTTTTCCCTTTAATCTGACTGTACTAGTGTTGGAGGATGGTGTAGCAGAGACTCATGGAAAAAAGAACCCTAGATGAAGTGGTAAAAAGATAAGTTGATGGAGTGTCTTAAAAGATATCTACCTTGACTTGTATCTACTTTTTCTTTTGTCTACAGGCCTATCCCTGTCTCCTACTAGAATGCCTGCTCAAGAGAGTAAACATTGTCTTGCTCAATATCCTGCCCCAAAACCTAGAAACGTGTCTGCTTTTCTAGGCATAATAAAGGTTCAATGAACATTTGTAGAATGAATGAGCAATGACCTTCGGCCTATCACTTTGTGCTTTGATAAGGATAACTGTTACTTCTTCATTTTATATGAAGCATTGTGTAACATATAATTATAAGGCAATTATTAAAGTCTCCCTTAAATGCCAGTAGTCCTTTCATACTAGTTGGTGCCCAAAGATGCTCCCACAGAGAAATTTACAGCCATCACTGCTCAAGGCCAACTCTTATCTGAAGCATGAATCCCCTCTGTTGGCCATCTTGCCAGTTATCATTTAGCCTTTGCTTGAATATCTCTAAAACAAAGAGCTCATTTTCTCCCAGAGCAGGCCTCCTTGTGCAGCTATGATCATTAGAATGTTCTTTCTTGTTAGCTAACATCTCTTTTTTTCCTATAACCTCCATCTATTGGCTTGGTTGTCGGAAGCAGATTAATCTTTCTTTCCACTGGGCAGTCCTTCAGGTATTTAGAGAAATTAACATGGCCTCCCTAAACTTCCTCTTTTGTATATTAAATGTCCCTGGTTCCTTTTCACACCCAGAAACATACAGCAGAAATCTCAGCAAGGGAGTCTTCCAGATATTCACATTGAGGATTGAAACATGAACAGCAGGAATGGACCTGAAGGGTATTCATTGTATACCATTGTGTATTTCCTGTATGAAGGGCTAAAGGGCGAAGCCAATGATTAACTAGCTAACCAACCGCATTAGTCCATTCTTGCTCTGAAATACCTAAGGTAATTTATAGAAAAAAGAGGTTTCATTGGCTCATGTTTCCATAGGCTGTATAGGAAGCATGGCAGCATCTTCTTGGCTTCTGGGGAGGCCTCAGGAAACTTAAAATCATTGGTGGAAGGCAAAGGGGAAGCAGGCATGTCTTACATGGTCAGGGCAGGAGGGAGAGAGAGTAGGGGGAGGTGCTACACACTTTTAAACAACCAGATCTCATAAGAACTCTATCATGAGAATAGCACCAAAGGGATGGTGCTAAACCAAACATGAGGGATCCACCCCCATGATCCAGTCACCTCACACCAGGCCCCACTCCCAACATTGGGGATTACAACTGAACATGGGATCCAAACCATATCACCAACCACAAGTCATTCTTCAGGGCCATAGGTCCGCATAAGAAGGGAAGAATGATTGGAGGTATGGACTCAACTACTTATGTGGATCCAGTTTTCTTCCCACAAGGAACTTGTGCCAAAGCTTGGAGTGATAGAATAGTGAGAACAAAAGACCAAGGTTACAGAAATCTTTGGTCAACAGTGAAAATATAAGACTACACTCTTCTGAAACTTGAGTGATGCTGTATACCACATAAGATGAGACAATGGCAGAATATCATGTCATATTGGATAAGACAAAATTAGCTCCACAGCAAGGCAGGTGCAAGGATGGGGAAGTGGTGAAGGAAACACCATCTGAGTGACAGGTGATATTTAAGAAACAACTAGAGGCAGGAGAATAGAGAACTCAGGTCACAGCTGAGAGGAGAGGGTTCTGTGTCTGGCACATGTGACGCCTCCTGGGTAAGATTTGAGGAAGACTGGAGTTCTTATCAATCTGCCAAGAGAGATGTTATTTTGTAACTGTTGTTCCCCCAGCATCAGGAAATATTAAGTATGCAAAACTGAGAACAATAGCTTGTATCCACTGGAGTCTGTTTTTTGGGCCAGGCATTGTGTTACCACTGGAGTAGCTCATTTAATCCTCATGATAATTTTGTGAGGTATGTACAATTCTCGTCTCCATTTCACAGATGAGGAAATTAAGACAGAGAAACTGTCTCATCCAAAATTGCCCAGCTAGTAATAGCAGAGCTGTGAGCCTGACTTCTGAAATGATATAAAATTCTGCATTTTAGTAAAATTTAGTTTGGGCTCTGTGTCCCAGCCCAAACTCCAATGGTAAAGCATTTAAATTTTGGTTGAATATCGCAGTTGATTAACTGGTGCTTTAATCAATGTTTTTTAAAATTGCTGAATCTAAGTATATACACCACATCAAACAAAAAACAGGCAGGAAGGCTGGGTGCGGTGGCTCACATCTGTAATACCATCACATTGGGGAGCCGAGGAGAGTGGATCACCTGAGGTCAAGAGTTCAAGACCAGCCTGGCCAACATGGTGAAGCCCCGTCTCTACTAAAAATACAAAAATTAGTCAGGCATGATGGCATGTACCTGTAATCCCAGCTACTTGGGAGGCTGAGGCAGGAGAATCGCTTGAACCTGGGAAGTGGAGGTTGCAGTGAGCCAAGATCGCACCACTGAACATCAGCCTGGGCGACAAAGTGAGACTCCATCTCAAAAACAAAACAAAACAAAAACAGGCCGAGAAATGAAGTTAGTTAATTACTGTAAGAAATGTGCTTACCAACAGTGACTATATGATCATCCATACCTTGTCACTGAACTGTGGGTGAATGACTACTAGTCTTCATGTAAGTGCAGCCCTTTCAGGTGCAGAACTAACACTTCACAAGGGAGCATCTGTCTGACACAGCCTCCTCTACTCAGTATTAAAAGATTAATGCAACAGGTGACAACCACCACCCCATCTCTCATGTATCTATCACCGTCTTCTATATCCCTCAACAACCTCCTCAGAGAACTTGCCACTCTGGTCCAGTGAAAACTAAATCCTCCCCTGAGAAATTCCAGGTCATCTTGTTTTATAAAAACCTTTTATGGAACCATAAAATGCCTCGCCGCCTTAGAGAAGTTGGCCTGGTAAATGACAGCAAACTGTGTTGCAATGAGCTACACAAGTTGAGCAAACTGCTGTTTCTTCTGGCTAGAGCACATCCTTTTTCCTTATTGAACTAAATGCATTTAGCAAAAGAAAACAACGTTTTAATTGCTTGCTCCTGTTTACAGCATGCAAATCATTTAAGACTGGCATTGTTGTAAGCCAGGAGAAGGCAGACCAGAGCATTCTAGATATGCTTATACTTTATGTGTCCAAGAACGCAGCCATTTACAACCCAGTGGTACTTTACTGCTAATGATCTTTGAAGTTAACAAGGTTTGTGAAAGCTTCTCAACATTATTATTACTACTTATATTAATAGCATTAGTGATCTCTTTTATTCTTCCAAGACTTAGCACTACTAATTGGCATCAGTATAAACAAAGGTATTAATGCTATCATGCAATGCAAGCAGAGCCAACGCTGGCAGCTTTGTGGGTTTAATATGGAAATGTTTGCTATCTAATGAGGACACAAAATGTTAATCTGCAGAACAAATTGTATTTATAGAGAAACTAATTATCATATGCAAATGTGACACACATCACTTGCAAAATTCCTGTTGCTGCTGGGTGGGCCCTCTTTGACCTTTGTGAAAAGCAGCACTTTGAAGTAGTAGCTAATGGTTTCATGCACTGAAGCTGATTAGTTTCATTTTCATACAGAAATGAGCTAAGTGGAAATGATGGTAGCTCCAAATAAAAGCACCAAAGCCACTGCTTCTGTAGCCATAATATGCACACTATTTTGGTATCCCTTCCTTTAAAATTCAGGATTCTTTTGCAATTTTTGCCATATCTTAAAAGCTACAGAACAGCTGTGCAGAGTAAAGAATGTTTTAACCCCGTTAATAGAAGATTAAGAATTGTTATCATAAATACAATCCTATGGGGTGAAGGCTATCTTGATGTTTTTATAATTATTTTTGTGTTTTGTTGTTCTTTTGTTTGTCTCCATTGAATAAGGAACTCCCTCAAGTATATGAGACAGATCATTAGATCTAGTGAACATGGGTTCACTCCTATTCTTGTTTATTTCTTGCTTTTCTCTTTCAAATATGTGATCTCCAATAGCAAAGTCATGGAATCAATCTAAATGCCCATCAGTGGTAGATTAGATTAGAAACAAACAAACAAACAAACAAAACACTGTGGTACATACACACCATGGAATACTATGCAGCCATAAAAAAGAGTGGGTGAGATCATGTCTTTTGCAGCAACATGGTTGGAGCTATAGGCCATTATCCTCAGTGAACTAATGCAGGAACAGAAAACCAAATACCGCATGCTCTCACTTAAAAGTGGGAGCTAAACATTGAGTACCCATGGACACAAAGAAGGGGACAGATACCAAGGCCTACTTGAGGGTGGGAGGAGGGAGAGGATTGAAAAACTACCTACCAGGTACTGTGCTTATTACCTAGGTGATGAGAAAATCTGCACCCCAAACCCCCGTGACTCACAATTTACCTATATAATGAAACTGCACATGTACCCTGGAACCTAAAAGTTAAAAAAAAATAAAAACACAAATATATGTGGTTTCTAGTTTGAAGCCTTATAGAACTATAAAACACTGGAACTTAAAACACTGGCCTTAGAGGCATTTCAATTAGTTCCAATATTTCATTTACAGATAAAGAGAGTGTGATGCAGAGAGATCAAATGGCATGCCCAAGATTTAGTGATTTAGTGGAAGATAATAGAAGTCAGATGATTTTTCTATGTGCTGAGGACTAAACTCTGATTTTTTTTTCTTGCCCAAATTCCTAAGGGATGTGGGGAGTCATGCCCTACAAATCGTAAATTCTCCTTAGACGGGTTTTATTTAACCCTATATACTGTGACTTACTTTCCAAACTGACTCTGGCATAACATTATGAGACAAGGAAGAAAATAAAAATATTTTACCCCCAAACATATTTCTTTGCCATATTTTGAAATGGCCCTGTAAAGTGGTTCTTTGTGGCGGAAAATTTGCATCTGTAAAGAATCTCTATAAACATAGCTAGATCTTTTTCTTCCAGACCCTCCCAATCCTAAAGAGACTGACTAAGATCTGAATGGAAATATTTGTCATCTATTGTCTCTAAGGGCAGCCACCATAAGACTTCAAAAGAATTTTGGTCTCCACAATCTTTATCTTAACCTGAACATTCCCTTTCTGTGAATTCCAGGTCTTTAGACAAACTCAACCAACTGTCAACCAGAAAATGTTTAAATTCACCTATGTCCTGGAAGCTCCCCACTGCTCCCTCACCTGCTTTGAGTTATCCCGCCTTTCTGGACCAAACCAATGTATTTCTTAAATGTATCTGATTGATGTCTCATGCCTCTCTAAAATGTATAAAACCAAGCTGAGCCCCAACCACCTTGGGCACATGTTCTCAGGACCTCCCGATGGCTGTGTCACAGGTCATGGTCACACATATTTGGTTCAAAATAAATCTCTTCAAATAATTTACAGAGTTCAACTCTTTTCATCAACAGTGCTTAAGTTTTTTGTTGTTGTTGTTGTTTTTAATCACCTCTACTGTAGCATGGTTAAGTTTAGAGTTGTATGAACACTTAATTGCTTTTGTAACTTCCTATGGCAGATGTAGCTGGCAGAAGGCCTCAGGTAGCTTCTGGACATATAGTTCTGCTAATTCTCATCCTGATATAAGGGATCTGATTTGCCATTCTCCAAATGCCTATTAGGCTCTGAGGACAGAAAAGCAAAAGAAACATTGTCCCTACCCTCATGGAACTCACAGTTTGCTGAGAGACCAACATACATAAAGACAATTTCAATAATGCAAGGGAAGTGCATTATCTAAATATGACAAAGTGTATAAGAACACAGGAAAGAAATAAGTGCCCAATACTTTGCATCCTTCAATCCAATCAAGTTGACAATCAATACTAACCATCACAGGATTCAACTTAAAATTTTGCCTGGCATAACCGGAAAACAGACAGGTATGGTTAGAACAGACTTCAGAGGATGTGAACAGAATCACAAAAGACACATAGAGCTCAACATCTGAAGTAATAAGTCAATTTTACAATTTTCTTGAAATTACTTTTCTTCCAGAGGCCTTTGTTAACAAGGTGTAATTGTATTTATTTAAGTTCAAATTTGGATTGAACATGAAGAAAAAAAGAGGAATAAAATCGACAACTCACCAAAAGTAAAAAACAAAAAGGAAAAGCTTTGTGACAACAAATGAATGAAAAATGAAGCAAATTAAGAGACCTGGATGGAACATTAGAAGACACAGAGCTTAATCTCTCTGGGTCTCAGGGTGCTTGTTTGAAAATATGAGGCTTATTTGCAACATGTGAAAGGCAAAAAGTAATATTCCTAACATATAAAACCTTCTTATAAAGTTAAGAAAAGAAAAAGAATCTTTGAATATAAAAGTGGGCTAAACACAGCAAGCTACAGTTGAGAAAAAGAGAAACAAATGGTTAGCAAACTTATTCAAGTGCTCAAATTCATTTGTAATTAAAGAATAGTAATTCACAATTAAAATATCTCTTACCTACATTCTACTTCCTCTCTATATGTTATCATATATAACATGCAACCCTTCATGTTACTAAAGTCTCCATTTTATAGACACAGAGATGTTAAGTTACTTGCCAAAGGTCACAACATAGCAAACAGCAGAGCCCCAGTTCCAGCCTGCCTCTAGGGGCTGTGTTTTAACCATCATGTTAAATTGCCTTGAAGACACCCTGAGAACTCAGCAATGGTTTGGCAATACTTGTTAAAAATAGTACGTAATATTGATGAATGTTTAGGGAAATAGACACTCTCCTATACTAACGGGTAAAATGACAACTAATAAACCTTTCTGTAGAGATTTTAATAGTATGTACCTAAAATCTTTTTAAAAGTGCATTGTCTTTAATGTAGCATTTCTTTCATTTTCTTTTATCCCATTGAAGATAGTATGTATTTAACTCTAGGAATATCTGTCAAGTTATTCATAATAAAAAATGAAAACAATTTTTAAAAATGAAAACTCGTTTTGCTCTATTGAGCAAAGATAACGCCAATTATTTTGCTTTCATTCAGTGGAATACTATGCAGCCATTATGGTGATATTTTAATTTTAATTTTTAGTTCTTAGGTACATGTGCAGGTTGTGCAGGTTTGTTACATAGGTAAGCATTTGCCAAGGTGGTTTGCTGCACCTATCAACCCATAATCTAGGTATTAAGCCCAGCATGCATTAGCTATTTTTACTGCTGCTCTCCCTCCCCCAACCCCAACCCTCAAGAGGTCCCAGTGTGTGTTGTTCCCCTCCCTGTATGACTATATTTTATATTTTAGAATATTAACAGAAAAAAACTGCACTGTTTATTGGGAGTCAAAAGCAGGTTAAATATTATCACTTTTTTTTTGTTTAGAAAAATACTTGCATATGTTAGTACCAAAACAGGGGGTGACATGGAAATATATTTACCAAACTATTAAGTGTGATATATTTGAAATGTGGTAGAATTACCAATGAGATTCATGTTTTTTTTTTAATTTTACGTCTAATATTTTTCAGTAAGCATCATATATTAAGAAAAGAATTGGGGCTTTAATTAAATGCTTCCTAAAAGCCCTTTTATGGTACAGTCTATAAGTCATGTTTTGTGAACTGTTCTGTATAAAGAGTCATGTGGAGGTATCAACACTGACCTCATATAAATGTCCTGTGGGGTTTTAACTCAGAATCAGGTGATCTGTCTCCTGCCCTTGGCTTGGTTACAACCTAGCTCCAGATAGTTAGAACTAGAAGAGATCTTAGAAACCAAACTGTCCCAAACTCATTTAACAGATGAGAATGCAAAGGTTGGGCTGCAGAGAACAGATGACTTCCCTAAGATTGATGGTCAGTGCGTGGTGACCTGGGACTAGAAGACACATCACCGTACCCACAGGTTGGTACCAGTTTTCTTTCACTACACTGTTTTTCTGGGCTTGCATGAAATTAGAGCCCTAAGTTAGCAGTTTCTCATGTCAGAGTGTGATGGCTACAACCGTAGGTTTCGGGGTCAAATAGCCCATGTTCAATGCCAGCTTTTCTGTTTCTAATTTTAAGACCTTAAACAAGAGGATCAGCTTTTTTGGGGCCTCATTTTTCTCAATTGCAAAATGGTCATTTTAATAATACTCATCCTCTCAGGCTATAGTAAGGATTTTAAAATGGAATAAGGTATTTAAAATGCTTAATGCAATACCTGGCTTCAAGTCTCAGCAAACATATGCTATTATCTTTCTGTTTTGCATCTTTGGGCATGGAACCATATACTGACTCCTGCATTATGTCCTTCTGGCAGAGAGGAACTGGAATGGTGATTGGATGCTGCTACCATCGTCCAATTTCACCATATTTGCAGATAGCTAAAAGCCTCATATATCTTCCCTAACAAAGGCGGAGTTACTTTCTGTCTACTGCCTGCCCTCTGGGGAAATCACTTTTGCACTGCCATCACACTGGCAAGCCATCCAGATTTACAAGAAAGGCTCAAAATTTATTAGTTAAGGGATGGCAGCTCTTTATGTAAATAAGTAATAAGGACGGATAAGAAAAGGATCACTGCAGTTGGCTGCTCTGAAGGATGCTGTTGAGGCTGAGGTCCTTCCTTGCAGGACCTATGCAAGTAAATGCATGAGTGCGGATCCCACTCATACACAGGCCTTCACCCACAAGTCACTCCTGACTTGTGCAAAATCGCAGATGAAACTTATGGTCAGAATTAGGATCAGAGTGGAGATAGGGAAAGCAAACAACAAAACAAAACCAACATGACAATGGACTTGTGGGTAAAAGCTGTGCACCAGAATCTGCAACCACTTTGCTTTGTTGTATGTCTTTGGGTAAATCTTACAGCTTAAGATGTAGGAGTTGGGCCCGTTTTTGAGTAAGGTACCATCTAACTCTGACATCTAATGAAGATAAGATTTAGGGTCCAGGGCCCCCTTCCTAGTAGACTCAGACCACACTCAAATTATAGGGTGTAACCTTAGTTTGTATGGAAATGATGGGGCAGAATTGTGGAGAAATGCTCCCTCAGACAACTGACCAACCTTTCTTGACCTGTGATCCACATCTGTGATTCCATCATAAATAAGCTAGTAGAGTTGATCAGGGATCTTGAACTTCCAAATCCCATTAGCATCCTGCTAAGGATTTGGCCTTATTCACCCATTGCTTAGCTTCCAATATGTAAATGCAATTAAATTACATTTGGTTGAATATTTAGGAGTTATTTAAAAATAGGTGAGAACAAGAACTCATCACATTTGGTTCAGCCAAGTTGCAAGCATTCCAATCATTCATTTGGACCTCTTATTGGTGCTCAGAGAAGCCATAGACTCACATCACCTCTGTAATGCATTCCCTGACAGAAGAGGAAGAAAAACACTGCCATCCCTGAATGTGTGGAGCAGTTATTGCTTGATGAGTTTCAGAAGATTCAATCTTTCAAAGTAATGCCATGTGTAATTTTCATGTGCAACCAAAAAATGCTGTTTTCCATTGACATTTCAAGTTTATGATAAATTGACAGTGGAATACTTTCTTTTTTTGTCTTTTAGGTGACAGGGAGAAGTATTTATCAAGAACACCCATTCTCTTAGCCCTCAGAAAATATCACAAATGCACCACCACTGAAAGGTGACAGCTTTTATAGATTCATAGTGACTTACAACCTTCTACTTGGCTGCAGGAAGGCAAAAATAATCAATTTTCATATATCATGGAGCAGAGGAGAAGGGAAAATGAGAAGCAACCTGAGAAATGCCTCTGCTAAAATATGTGAAGACCCCAGCTAATACCCCATCAATTCCATGGTCAAAAAGTACAAAGGTTCTAGAGAAATAGGCTTGAACAAAGCAACCCAATCAAGGTGAGAGGACACAGAGAAACAAGGTCTTCAGGCTAGCTTAGCTATTGAAATGATCTAATTAAATAAAACAATTAGAGATTGGCTTCTGTCCTACGAGTGGTACCCCCCTCCCCATGAAATCACAAGGAATGGCAAGAATCCAAGATTGCTTAAGTGATTTCTTATTTAACTCAGTCCTTTAAGTGGCTTAGCAAGTGTTAAATTTAAATGTGTGTAAAGATCATTACCCCCCACACCCAAAAAAAAAATCAGGTGAAAATTGTGACTATGCATACACAGGGCCACACATATAGGTCAAGAGAAAAAATAGCTTCGGGGATATTCAGAGATTTAGCTTTTAGCAAAAGTCATTTTTCTCCCTTCAGTAAGCCTGTGATCTTTTAATAGCCATTTTCCTTGATTGCCTTCTAGATCATCGTCTGCTGCCAAGTGCCCAATCTGAACACCCAGACTCTAGGTCTTGGTAGGGGAGGGGGTTGTGGGATGATCCTCAGACCAGAATTCTGTAAACTTTCCCAGACTCAGCCAGCGGCATCACTCTCCTGCATTATATAATAAAACAAAGCCTCAAGTTCAGATTTCAAGAATCATTCTTTTTACTTTTGAATATTTTTATATATTCTGAGAAGTAAGAAATTTGGAAAAATGCCCTCCTTCTTTTTCAGAGTTCCTTATATGTTTTTGAAGATATCACATAACAGTTAAAATATTTTAGAAATATCATGAGATTAGAGAGAGAGTGAATTAGTAAAATAATTTATTATCCTGAAAGCTAATGAGATTAACTTGCTTTTTACTTTCTGATTTTTTGGGGGGAATAGAAATATTACACTTTTACAATTGTTTTATTCTTAATAGGTAAGTATGTGGTTGGACCAGATCCTATGGGCTGGTCCAGATTTTAGGGTGCAGAGAACCTGGGATAGTCTTTGTTTTAATACTAAAACCAACCAACAAGGAGGGAAAGGATATATACAATGGAAAAGACTCAGATGCAGGAACTCAGATCCCCAAAACCTCCTCCCCAGGGTACACCTGACCTACCTTGTTATTTACCATGTAAGAAGCCTAGATCTATGGGTTTGCTGCTATTATGCCATTTGGCCTGCCCAGGAGCTTCATAACTACTTCAGTCAGCACTCGGGTACACTCTGTATCACATAAAGCATTTCTCGATGTGCCACTATTACATGCTTAGCTTGCTTTATTTTTTAAACAAGACATTGGCTCTAAAGGAGACCTGTGTACAGCGGATTGGACTACACCTATCGCAGTGTTGAACTGCTAATAATAACCTTTGACTACACTCCTCTTTCTTTTGAAAAACTTGTGCATATTATTTTTCCATAACCATAGGCATAATGGACAATTCACAGTTCTAAAAAGAAAGTCAATATCACAGTCTGTATCCTAGCCCGTCACATCTACTGAATACCCAGCACTTGAGCAAGTGTTGAGATTCCTTCCAAAGTGTATTGAAGACATGAGCCTTAGCCTGAGTAGAGTTTAAAAGAGGAGAATCACCAAAACCTCAACAAGAACCAGCACTACCAACAAATGCTCCCACTTTTATTGACCACATAATACATGCCAGGCACTGAGCTACACAATTTACATATATTATTTCAAGTTTTCCCAGCAATCCTTCACAGTATGTTAAAGGGTCACTTTATAAATGAAACACATCATGTTTTTCTTTTTTAAAATTTTAGATTCAGAGGATATATGTGCAGGTTTTTTACATGGACATATTGCATGATGCCGAGGTTTGGGCTTCTAATGATCCTGTTGTCCAAGTAGCAAACATAGTACCAGATAGGTCATTTTTTTGACCTGTGTCCCCCTGCCCACTTTGGACTCTCCATTGTCTAGACAAATTGTGTTCTAAGACATTGTGACTTCTCAAATATCACAGAGAAATCATCGCTGTTCGGATCAGAATTAGAAATATTTAATCCAAAACTGATATTTATTTCACCACACCATATTGCCTCCTAGCATCTAAACAGGTCCACAATTCTGTTTCTTACTTGTCCTTCTCAAGGAGTCAAATAATACACTTATGTTTTAAAATTTCATAAAAATAGCCGAGTTTAGCGGCTCACACCTGTAATCCCAGCACTTTGGAAGGCTGAGGAGGGAGGACTGCTTGAGGCCAGGAGTTTGAAATCAGCCTGGGCAACATAGCTAGACTCTGTTTCTACAAAAAATAAAAAGCCAGGTGGGGTGGTGTGCACTGTAGTCCCATCTACTTGGGAGGCTGAGGAAGGAAGATCACTTGAACTCAGAAGTTTGAGGCTGCAGTGAGCTATGATCATGCCACTGCACTCCAGCCTGGATGACAGAGTAAGAAACTGTCTCCAAATAAATAAATAAATGAAATTAAACTGCTCTCTTGTTCATTTGAGACTATGGGATTAGATCACCTCTCCAGGTGAACCCCACACTAACTTGGCAAAAAGTAAAATAAGGGCTATGACAAGTTAGGCCAGGAGAATAACTAAGTTGCCCTCCTCAGAACCTTGCTTGCTCTCACATAGCCTGGGAATCATCTGGAAAACCCCATTCACCCTGTAAAGGGATACAGAATGTAGCTGATGATACTAGTTGTTTTAAGAGTGAGAGGGCATCTCTGAAGACAAGACAAAGGACATACAATGTAGCTTACAAAGTACACCAAACAGCAAATCTAAGTAGACTTCAAAGTTAAATATAACACTTTTTTTTTGAGGTGGAGTCTTGCTCTGTTGCCCAGGCTGGAGGGTAGTGGCATGATCTCAGCTCACTGCAACCTCTGCCTCCAGGGTTCAAGCAATTCTCCTGCCTCACCCTCCTGAGTAGCTAGGACTACAGGCACATGCCACCATGCTCAGCTAATTTTTGTATTTTTAGTAGAGACAGCGTTTCACCATGCTGGCCAGGCTGGTCTTGAACTCCTGACCTCGTGATCCGCCTGCCTCGGCCTGCCAACACTTAAGACTTCTAAGAGTAGATAGCAGATATGGGACTCCAACCAACTGAGAGATAACAGATGAGGAATTTACCAGATGCAAATGATAAGAGACGGCAGCAGGGTTAGCTGAGATGTTCAAATGGCGGACGTCATCCTCCAGAAACTGACTATCTTTGGCTGAGAGACTCCACTAATCATCACTCAGAGACTGAGAAAGACTCTACAGCACCACAGTAGATGAAGATGAGAGGGCCCTTCCCCATCTTCCTCAGGACACAATGTCCTCCCTCACACCCAGACTCCATCTTGGGAAGGAGAAAGATGAAAAGCTCCATTCTGAAAACTTGAACATTAACCTGTAGGTGACCAGCAGGAACTGAAAGGAAATGGTTTAAAGAAGACATGGAGAGATTGTCAATTGACCAAGTTAAGTTCCTCCACTACCCAGCTGGGAAGAGGCACTTGTAAGGAAAAAGGAATAATAAATAAATAAGCAAACAGATAAAGAAATGAATGAATGAATGAATGCAATACAAATTTGTTTTGTTTGATTTTTGCACATCTAAGTAAGGAGGAAAATATTTGCCCATTTGCTTGAAATAATTCATTAGAAGATTCGGAAATTATAGAAAATTATAATTCTGCTTCCCAGTAAAAAACATTATAAACATTTCAATAATTATAATATACATGAAATTAAGATCTATACACAATTATACATCTTGACTTTTGCATATGACTTTATGATTGTGGAACTATGTCAAATGTTAATGGTTTTGTTACAATCAACCATCTAGAGACACGATGATTTATCCATTTTACTATTGCCGTTTATTTACTCAAACTATTATAAACAATGCTGTAATGAACTTTATATATCAATCTTTATTTGACTATATACTTATTTTCAATTCTTCAAACCAAAATCACCAAATCAAATGATATAAACCTATTTTAATGTCTTCACAGGTTTCGTTATGTGTTTTCTGAAGGTCTATACCAATTTTTCTGACAGCAGCAGTATATGAGTGCCTTTTAAAGGCATCATAGAATATACGGCATTGCCAACTCTCTATAAATTGGTAAGGAAAAGATAGTATATAACTTCTGTTCTTAATTTGTATTTTATGGTATATAATTTGTATTTTTTGCTTTATATTCAAGTTGAATATTTTTATTATTTTTATTAGCAACTTGAGATATGTGAAACCTCCTTTCTACATATTTGAGGTGTTCTTTTAGCTGAACAACCTCATTGTATGTTAACTGTCATATTTGTCACATATATTTTTTACATTTTACTTTTCACTTGACATGTTTTTTTACTTTCATGTGTTCGAATTTCATCCATTGCCCTATGCTCAGAAAATTCCTGCTCTAAAATAACTTAAGTAATTTGCTTTGCTTTTATAGATTCTACATTTTTATTTTTACTTTAACATTTTAACCTAACTGAAAATTTTTCTTAACATAATGAAGTTTTTAATTTCTTCTTTTTGGTTAATCAATTGTCCCAGTGGCATTTTTTTTTAACACTCAGTAATTTGAAGTGACTTCTTTACCCAGATAATAAATGTGTATATATAGATACTGTTTTGGTACCTTTTATTCTATTCCACTGACCTGTATGATGATTTTGGTTCTAGTATGATGTCATTTTAATTATTTTAGTTTTATAATGTGGTTCACATCTTGCCTTACTTCTCTTTTTTGGAACTTCCTTGGTTGGGCATGGTGGCTCACATCTGTAGTCCCAGCTTCTCAGAAGGATGAAGTGGAGGATGGCTTGATACTAGGAGGTCAAGGCTGAAGTGAGCCATGATCTGCACTCCAGTGAGACCTTGTCTCAAAAATGTCCTTGGGTATTTATGCCATTTTATTATGTGACCAAAATAAAAATAATATATAATATTTTGTCAAACTTCAGAGAAACAAACAAACTTTGGGATGTCCATCTAAAAATTAGCCTGGGGAAAATTTTCAATTATTTAAACTTACCAGTTAAGAACATGTTTGCCTCTCCATTTACTCAATTCTTTTATTTTCATCAATAACATTTTAAAAATGTTTTGATTTTTGTCTGTGGGGTCCTGAATATATCCTTTTAAGGTTAATTCTAGGTATTAGGTATTTATGGCAACTATTACAAGAATGGAAATTTAAAAATAATTTTTTCTGTATATATCTGGTATCTTAGTTCAGGCTGCTATGCCAAATTACCATAGACTGAGTGGTTTAAGGAGCAGAAGTTTATTTCTCTTAGTTCTGGAAAGCTTCTCTTAGATCTGGAAGTCCGAGATCAAAGCAGGTGCAGTATCTATGAGGACCTACTTCCTGGTTTGCAGTTGGGCATCTTCTTCTGTGTCTTCACATAGCAGATTGCAGAAATGGAGGAAGCAAGAGATCTATTGTCTCTTCTCATAAGGGCACTGATCTCATTCAGGGAGGCTCCAACCGCATGACCTGCTCACTTCCCAAAGGTTCCACCTCCTAGTACCATCCTATTAGGGGTCAGGGTTTCAACACAAGAATTAGAGGAAAACACAAACACGAACTCCATAACGTCCAGTATATAGAAATGCTTTTTATTTATTTGGGGTTTTTTCTGTTTTTGTTTTTGAGACAGAGTCTCACTCTGTCACCCAGGCTGGAGTGCAGTGGCGTGATCCAGGCTCACTGCAACCTCCTCCTCGGGGGTTCAAGCAATTCTCCTGCCTCAGCCTCCTAACTGGGATTACAGGCATGCGCCACCATGCCCAGCTAATTAGAAATACTTTATAAATGCATTTAGTTTCTTGTACGTGACTTTCAGAACTCTCTTAAATTTTAATTTTATTTAATTTTGATCTTAGCTCACTACCACCTCAAGACTTTCAGAATTCTTATCAGTGCTAAGAATTTTACACAAATTTTTGAGATTCTGCTTTGTATTTTTTAAATGTTACTGCTACAATCACCATTTAGTTTTCTTGTTCTATAATTCATGACTTCAACATAACAAGATTATTATAGCTGAAGTATGTGTTAAGTATTGAAATTTTACCTTCGTATGACACATACATAATAAAAAGAAAACATTTTCTTGTAGCAAATAATTGAAAGAGCCTTATAGTTTCAAAGTCAATAGTTCTGTGATAGTCATCACTTAAATTACAAGTAGACTCTCGCAGGAAAGCTTCTTGCAAACAAACTAGTCATGCTTCAATATTCTGATGACAATAATTTATTATATATTTTCAAATAGCTAGAAGAAAAGATATTAAATATTCACAACACAAGGAAATGATAAATATTTGAGGTGTTGGATATGCAAATTACCCCAATTTGCTCACTATATACTTTACGGATTGAAACGTAATGATGTACTCCATAAACATGCACAATTCTTTTTTTTTTTTTAGACTGAGTCTCCCTCTGTCCCCCAGGCTGGGTTGCAGTGGTACGATCTCCACTCACTGCAGCCTCTGCCTCCCAGGTTCAAGCCATTCTCCTGCCTCAGCTTCCAGAGTAGCTGGGATTATAGGCACGTGCCACCATGCCTGGCTAATTTTTGTATATTTTTTGTTGAGATGGGGTTTCACCATGTTGACCAGGCTGGTCTCTAACTCCTGACCTCAAGTGATCTGCCTGCCTTGGCCTCCCAAAGTGCTGGAATTACAGGTGTCATGAAAAATTCTTATGTATCAACTTTAAAAATTAGAAAACATGTATTTCTAAAAAGATATAGAATAAATAAAAATAGGCCAGAAAGGAACTTTACCCCAAGCTTCAGGGTAGCTGTGTCTGAATCATTTCCAGCTCTTTTTCTCATTTATTTATTTATTTATTTATTTATTTATTTATTTATTTATTTAGAGACAGGGTCTTGCTTTGTTGCCCAGGCTATAATGCAGTGACGCAATCACAACTCACTGCAGACTCAACCTCCTGAACTCAAATGATCCTTTTGCCTCAGCCTCCCAACAGCTGGGACTATAGGCACACGCCACCATACCTGGTTATTTTTTTGTAGAGACAGGGTCTTTCTGTAGTGGGCAGCTGGTCTCAAACTTCTGGCCACAAGCACTCCCCCTGCCTTAGTCTTCCAAAGTGCTGGGATTATAGGTGTGAGCTACCATGCCTCGCCACTGTTTTTTCTTACCCATATTACAAAATGTAATAGCCAATTCAATTCTTTGTATTCCTAAATATTGGGGTTGGTAGGTCAGAGTGCATAAATCTCTCAAAGATTTGGCTGTTAAAAATTGTGTGATTTCTAATTTTTACTTTAATTCTAGTAAAGGCTGAATTAAAGAATTTGAAATGTATAATTTTTTACAAAATAACATTATTGGCAAATAGTCATAATTTTTTTTCTGCTTCATATAGGTTAATGTTTCCTGTAGAAGTGCAAATAACGCAAACAGCAGTAAGCATCCCTGCCTTATCACTAATTTTAAATAGGAGAGTTTCATGTTTCATTATGAGGATGTTGACTTCACTGTGATTTATAAATGATTTGTTATATGGAGAAAATCCCTGGATCCTGATATATCTTTGTCAGTAGGCTTTGAAATTTATCAAATATCATTTTGGCATGTCTTGAGATTATTCTTTCAGCTTAAACCCACCTATGCCTAGCGTTCCATTATTAGAACAGTAAGCATGTGGGAGTTATTTATATCCTACTGCTCAAGGTCATCACCAAGGTCTGATTTTTCAAATTCAAAAAATTGCAACCTCAGGCATAAATGGGTTAAATTAGCTTCTTACAATGAGAACACATGGACACAGGAAGGGGAACAGCACACTCTGGGGACTGTTGTGGGGTGGGGAGAGGGGGGAGGGTTAGCATTAGGAGATATACCTAATGCTAAATGATGAGTTAATAGGTACAGCACACCAGCATGGCACATGTATACCTATGTAACTAACCTGCACATTGTGCACATGTACCCTAAAACTTAAAGTGTAATAATTAAAAAAAAATTAGCTTCTTAAAATGTATTTTTCTGGCCAGGCAGGGTAGCTCATGCCTGTGATCTCAGTACTTTGGGAGGCTATGGTGGGAGGACCGCCTGAGCCTAGGATTTCGAGGCTTCAGTGAGGTATGATTGTGCCATTGCACTCATCCTGGAGGACATAATGAGACCTTGTCTCTTAAAAATATATATATTTTTTCTTTACAAAAAATTAGCTGGGCAGGGTGGCACATGCCTGTAGTCCCAGCAGCTTGAGAGGCTGAGGTAGGAGGATAACCTGAGCACAGGAGGTGGAGGTTGCAGTGAGCCAAGATCATGCCACTGCATTCCAGCCTGGGTAATAGAATGAAACTCTGTCTCAAAAGTATTTTCTAAAAATAAAGTATCTTAGCATTCGTATGATAAACTCTTGAGTGTTGCGGACAATTTACTAATTTTTCTGTTATGCAGTGGAGTGTGGACTGACAGTGCTGGGGAGGAATGGACACTTAGAAGCAGAGAAGCAGCAAAACACCCTGACTCCTCCTGCTGAGAGGTGCACGTGGGCAGGAGACATCATAGGAAAGGCTCCAAGAGAGGGTCTCAACTGACTGCTGCTTTACATATTTATAAACGAGTTCAAGAGGGACTGGGAATACCCAATGGGCTATGCCACAAATGGACACAGAAGGGGAAGGAAAGGATTTCATCAGGAAATGGGAGCCTTTGGAGCTCAGCCTTGTGTTGGCCAGGGGTCCTGTGTTCTCCAACTCACACTTGCTGAGCTGGAGTCTCCTAAACTACTGCCAGAGTGAGGAAGGACATTCCAGAGCACCAAGGATACATCCGTCTTGGTCACGCTTTAAATTGCTAATGTATTTTAGAGTTTTAGCCTGTACGTATATATGTACACAAAGGTAACTTTCATGTTACTAAGCTAAATGAGAATATCAAGTTGAAAAACTTTCTAGTAATATCTGACAAACAGTAAACACACACACACACACACACAAAAGAATACAGATAAACGTTTACAGAATATATATATATGTTCTTAAACACTGGATTGTTTGTTGCTTTTTTGCACTTATTGTTAGGATTTATATTATTGGGGATTTTTTCAACTTTTTGATATTAATTCTCGGTTACATAACACAAAAGTTATCTGTTTCCTGATAGTTTGCAAAACCACACTGTGCTACATAGTGAGACCCTGTCTCTAAAAAAATAAAAGCAAAAACTTTACAGACTGGGAGTCTGAGAATCAAACATATGTATTTCTATTTATTTTGTAACAATTTTGATTATATGTTTTCAGAAATGTTTAAATAGAGTATTATTCTATCCCCATTATCATTCTTAATTTGGCTTTTCTCATTTTACTTACTCTTCAAAAAGTTGTGCATATTTTCATAATTTTAAATAATCAATTTATATTATTCATCATCTTGTATTCCTGTTCTCTAATTTATTAATTCTCTTTTTTCTTTCTGTATTTCCTTGGTCTTTAAGTTTCTTTCATTTCTCTCTTAGAAGAAATAGCTCAATGCTGTGATTATTTTTTGTGGTTTTTTTTTTCTTATTAAATAAGGAAAGTCTTAACATGTTGATATGGTTTGGCTGTGTCCCCACCCAAATCTCAACTTGAATTGTATCTCCCAGAATTCCCATATGTTGTGGGAAAGACTCAGGGGGAGGTAACTGAATCATGGGGGCTGGTCTTTCCCATACTATTCTCATGATCGTCACTAAGTCTCATGAAATCTGATGGGTTTATCAGGGGTTTCTGCTTTTGCTGCTTCCTCATTTTCTCTTGCCATGTAAGAAGTGCCTTTTGCCTCCCGCCATGATTCTGAGGCCTCCCCAGCCATGTGGAACTGTAAGTCCAATTAAACCTCTTTTTCTTCCCAGTCTCGGGTATGTCTTTATTAGCAGCATGAAAACAGACTAATACATGTGAATTTTACTGAAAGTACTTATTTCACTGCACATCAATGTTGAATGTATTGCTTTGTCATTGAATTATATATAATTATAATTCTACTTAAGATTTTACCTCTTATTTAGGGTTTGTGTGTTATATTTTTTATAATAGATTGAGTTTAGGAAGACTTGCTGACTTCTTTATATAATTGAACAACTTTTAATTTTTAAAATTCTATTATGAGTAAATATGGCTTGTTAAATATTTGTTTCTTAATATTTAATTTTGGGCTCAGTATTGAACCCATTCTGTAAATGCCTCATGGATTCTTGAAAAGGTGAGGGTTTTTTTTCTTTGTATGCAGAAAATAACTGTATTAAAAAATTGTAATAACAGTCCTCTGTCATAGTATTTATTTTTATTTACCTAAAACATTAAAGTTTTGGGTTAGGCTAAATTCTCCTTTTAAAATACCCCTGCTACATTTTGTCAAGGTTAATCATGTGGATGAAGAGTCAGGCTGCCTGTTTTAAAACTTGGTTTTGTACTTAACCAGCTGTGTCATCTTGGTCAAGTTAGTGCATGTCTCTAAACTTTAGTGTCTCATTTATGAAACAAAGATAATGACTCCCAACTTAGCCTAAGAGGTAATGGAGCTATAGCAATTGGCATCGTGCCTGGCACATAATATGATCTATAGCTTTAGTTTTATTATTAGTAGTATTGTTATCATTATGCTCCATTCATTTCTAATGTTTTTATTTACATATTTTGATTACAAGCTAGCTACTTATCATATAATTATAGACTGTGCATAACAGCCTTACCAAATGGCCCACTCTCTCCATTTTACTCTTCTGTGTTTTTGATTCTATTATTGCTAACTCCAATGTATTTCTGTTTAACTTTTGTTTATGTATCATTTTTGTTTACATTTTTTGTATCACTGTTTAGGTTTTGTTTTCAAAAATCACTTAAGGATCTTAGTACAGTTTTGTTTTGTTTTTTGAGACAGGGTCTCGCTCTGTCACTCAGGCTGGAGTGCAGTGGTGCAATCAGAGCTCACTATAGCCTTGAACTCCTGGGCTCTAACAATCCTGCCACTTCAGTCTCCTGAGTAGCTTGGACTACTGGCAGACACCAACATGCCTGGCTTTTTTTTGTTTGTTTTTTTCTGGAGAAATGGAGTCTTGCTTGTTGCCCTGGCTGTTTGGGAACTCCTGGCCTCAAGCAATCCTCCCACCTCTGCCTCCAAAAGTGTTGGGATTACAGGCATGAGCATCCAGCATTAGATTTTTTAACCTGTTTATTGCTTGTTAACTTATGTGATACACTTAGACTTATTTATATGCCATCATCTTTTTCTTATGCTTCCTTAAGGTTTGTTTTCTTTTCTGTCTCCTACAGGTTACATATTATTTGCTTTAATTTTTTTCTAATATTTTGCGGTTAATTTTACAATTAAGTTTAAAAGTACCATACATCTTTGGGGGCCTACTTTTGTTGTGCCACTTTTGCCCACTTGAATATCTCCTCAAAAGTACAGCTTTAGATTCAGAAGTACTTTGACACGGAATATAAATTTCATTTAATATTTTATGGGGAGATGAAAAAAAGTATTATATTGCAACGGTAACAACCAACATTTTAACAAATTCTGCTTGAACAACTCTCTTTCCACAGGACTTCTCTCTTTGAAATCCCTTTAGTCACGGGGATCAGCTATTTTCCCTAATTTCTTTCCTGAACTCTTCAGGTTGCACATATTCACCATTCACTTCCTCTTTCACAACCTGCCCATGGTAAGCTCAAGTCCGCAGGTTTCTGCAAGCATAAAAGAAACAATTTTCGCAGTTCGTTAGCTTTTATTTCTTGCTTATTAAGTATGGGTTTTGTGTCTGGAGGTAAACTGGGGTGGGTGGATTCAGTGCACCCTCCCATCATACATACTTGAGCCTATGTTGTGATTGCAAAATTTAAGAGAAAAATCAAATAATATTTCATTTCTTCCTAGTATGAAATAAGGAACTACACTTGCCTCTTTTTCTTTCTGCCTAGAATCCTTTTCAATATTTTTCCTGTTTGATGAGAGATTAAACCTAGGTTGCTGTTATTATTGAAATTTGTATATTCTGCATACTGTCCCCAAAACAGTCATACATTTTCATTTAAATATTTATATTTATTGAATTTATAATAATTATTTAGACCTCATGCATTCTTTCGATTTGGCTTCTTTTAAACTTTTCTAGGCATTGATCATATACTTGAATAATAGTAGCAAAGACGATGTGAAATTTAAAGCAAACACTGTGTGTGTAATTTGTAAAGAATAGTATGAATAAAACACATAATTAGATAGATTTTATGTATTAAGATGATTAGAGTGAAGGATTAAGGTTAAGCCTAGAGATAAATATCCCAGAAAAGAAGCTGGTGGTCATTGTTTCACAAAATAGCCTGGTGCTTATCATGAAGGCGTTACATTTACAAGGCCATCAGTTATTATTAGTTCTCTAAGTCCACTTTCAGAAATATGCTGGAAGTGCCAATTACCTCTACCTGGTAAGTGAGGTTGGCCAACCCTGTATAGAAAATTTACATAGACAGAAATTTAACAAGTAGACGTATTCCACTGCATAGGGATGGATAGAAGAAAAAAATATACCAGTGGACCTCAATCAGAATTCTAACAAGCTAGCCAGGAGTGGTGGCTTATGCCTGTAATCCCAGCACTTTGGGAAGCTGAGACAGGAGAATCGTTTGAAGTCAGGAGTTCAAGACCAGCCTGGGCAAATAAGGAGACACCATCTCTTAAAAAAATGTAAAAATTTAGCTAGATATGGTGGCTCACACCTGTGGTCCCAGCTACTCAGGAGGCTGAGATGGGAGAATCTCTTGAGCCCAGGAGCTTGAGGCTGCAATGAGCTATGATTGCACCACTGCACTACCGTCTGGATGACAGAGAAAGACCCCATCTCATTTTTCTTAATGTAAAAAGAAAAAAAAAGAAATCTGATGAGCAGCCCCCAAGGGATAAAGAAAAGCACCACTGGAGAAAAAACAGATAGAGAAAGATACAGACAAATCAGAAGAAAAATAAAGTGTTCTGAGGCTGTTTTAAAAGCGGAAGTCCAATGCCTACAAAATTTGTACATAAAAAGTTCTAAGTGCAATTAAAAATATGTTTATCCAAATATTGTAGCTGTTGAGCAAACAAATGCAACAATGGAAACAAATTTTTAAAAAAATACTGACTGCCCTGAAAATGAGACCAATGAGCTGAGGACTTGAAATGGTGCCATCACCGTGTACTCAAGCTGTAGAAGAAATGCAGCCAGTCTGTCAATAATCTTCAGTGAAGTTAGATGCAATTCCTTTTTGTTTTTATTTTTAATGTTACATTTTGCATGCTGAATAGCAGGATATTTTTAGAACAAGCATCTTGGTTCCTAACTGACTTGATAATTTCAAGAATAATCCCTCTTTGAGTTTGATATTTTCCACACATAGTTGTCTGGACAGAAACATGATTAGCTCAAATGCCAATGATCTGTGAATATTAGCCACTCCCCTGCCCCACCATTAAAAGAATATCCAAGACAGCTTTTGCTGTGATAGGGCTGCATGGAAAAAGATCTCCTAAATTTCAGTTGATTTAAACAACAAACAGTTCTTACTCACAGCTCTGCAGGTTGGCTATGACTGTTCTGCTGGCTTAGGTCTTCTTCAAATGCCTTCTCATCCTATGGCCAAAGTCAGAGAAGTGGCTCCTGTCCAGGGTGTGCTACTATTATGAGAAGGGCTGGAGTGCAAGAAGGGTGGCAGAAACTTTCAATGTCTCTTAAAACCTTCCTTTAGAGTGAGCACACCCACTTCTTCCAGCATTCCACTGTTCGGAGTAAGTCATATGGCCAAAACAACAGAGATGGGCCTCAATAGTGTTTGCTTCCAATAGGGGATGAAGAGAAAGTGATTATTTGCTGAATAATAAAATCTTTCATAGTCCTCACTCTTGATCTCAAATATTAGTGCTCCTTCCCTCTGTGTCCAAAATGTACTCATACCCTCTCTCAGGGAATTCTCCAAAAGACATTAGATTTGAAGTCCAGGATCTTGTACTAACTTCTGTAGCAGGTCCAGATATGGTTTGTACTGTTTCAGACACCGATGAGGTAAAAAGAAAAGCTATTTACATCCCCTTATGACCACACACACACACATACATACATCATACAAAAGTGAAACAACACAAGGATGACAGCAATAAACAACCCCATTTGGACAGGTGAAAAATGAGAGGCACATAGTAGTCACTGATCCAGAACAATTCTGAATTCCCACTGGACAAATGTTCCTTCTAAAAATGCTTCATAAGAAACAACCCCAAATCTCAGAGGCTTACAGCCACAAGTATTCGTTTTGCACAGGCTGGTCTGCAGGTCAGCTATGTGGACCCTCTCCAGGTAATAAGTCAGTTTCAGAACAGCCTCCATGTGTTTTCTTATTTAAAGTCCCAGGATGAAAGAGCAGCTACCAACTAAGACATACTATTTCATAATGCAGGCAGGAGTACATGAGGATTGATAGAAACATGTGCCCTGTCACATCTGCCATGTTTCATTGACAAAGTCATGTGTCCAAGCCCAACTTTAATATTACACTCCTACCATAGAAGGAGAAGGAAGAGAGAGAATATTTGCTAGACAACAAAAAGGATGACATGTATTTTAGAGGATTTTTCTCTTCCAAAGAAATCCAGTGAAATAATCTTTCCTAATATTGAAAGAGCCCAATGGGTAGTTAAATGTTCTTCATGTAAATTATGCTGCAGTCAAAAGGATAAGTTACACTTATCCATTGGATAAACATGAAGGGGGAGTACACAGAAGTACATAAATTCCACTCTGTTCAGAGAACGGGATAACATAGTTCAACGGAGAATTGGAAATCAGTTTGAATTACCAATTAAAAAAGGCAAAAAAACAGACTGATGCAGATGAATTTCACATAAATGTGGAGAAATCCAATAAGGTAATCCATAATTCTTTCTGTACTTGTGCTGCCTTAACGAAAAAATAAGATAATTCCCAGGGAACTGGACTAGGTTTACGCCAATTTTGGATACACACAGAAGAATTTGAACAGAAAAGAATCTGCAGGATGAATTAATGAAGTTACAAAAACACTGATCATAGTGGTTAGAAAAGTCTCGTGTCTGTTTTTCTGGGTGAAGTTGCCACATTTCCAAGCAACCAGGTATTGGGGTTAACATCCAAATCTCAGCCTGATTAAAACATGCAGATGATCCCCAACTAATGATGGGTTCAATTTAATGATTTTTGTCCTTGCAATGGTGTCAAACCATTGTTTTTCACTTTCAGGGCAGCATTCAATAAACTTCATGAGATATTCAACACTGTATTACAAAATAAGCCTTGTGGTACATATTTTGCCCAACTGTAGGCTGGTGTAAGTGCTCTGACCAAGTTTAAGATAGGCTAGGCAAACAATAATGTTCAGTAAATTAAGTGTATTAAATGCATTTTTGACGTGGAATCAACATTTTCAACTAACGGTGGGTTTATCAGGACATAAACCCATCATAAGTTGAGGAGAACCCATTCATTAATTGAGGCTTACACAAAAATCTCCAAGAAGCTTAGAACACAGCAGAGTGTGGAGAGCAAGAAAAGTTCGTTTGCCATCTTTTCAGAGGAAGCAAACTTGGAGAGGACTTACGTAAAATGACTATGTGCTTGTGAGAGTCATATTCTTTAACATTACAAATTACAGCATCACAAGAGTACATCCACAAAACAAAAGGGCTCAGCCCCTGTGAATACATGGATGCCAGTTTAATGTTACAAAGCCAGATTTTATATACTTTCTGGATTGATCTATGCTGTAGTTTGATTTATCCCCTCCAAATCTCATGTTGAACTTTGATCCCCAGTGATGGAGGTGGTGACTAATGGGAGGTGTTTGGATCATAGGAACAGATCTCTCATGAATAGATTAATGCCCTCCCTGGGGCAGGGAATGTGTGAGTTCTTGCTCTATCAGTTCCCACAAGAATCCCCTGGAAAGCTAGTTGTTAAAAGGAACCTGGAGGCCGGGTGCAGTGGCTCAAGCCTGTAATCCCAGCACTTTGGGAGGTCGAGGCGGGCGGATCACGGGGTCAGGAAATCGAGACCATTCTGGCTAACACGGTGAAACCCCGTCTCTACTAAAAGAACAAAAGAATTAGCCGGGCATGGTGGCGGGCCCCTGTAGTCCCAGCTGCTGGGGAGGCTGAGGCAGGAGAATGGTGTGAACACGGGAGACGGAGCTTGCAGTGAGCCGAGATCGGGCCACTGCACTCCAGCCTGGGCGACAGAGCGAGACTCCGTCTCAAAAAGAAAAAAAAAAAAAAAGAAGGAACCTAGAATCTCCACTCTCTCTTGCCTTCCCTCTCGTCATGTGATCTCTGCATATGCCAGGTCCCCTCACCTTTCACCACAAGGGAAATCAGCCTGAGGCCCTCACAAGAAGCAGATGCTGGCACCATGCTTCTTATACAGCATGCAGAACCATGAGCCCAATAAACCTCTTTTCTTGTGATTTTTGTACATTGATTTTGTATCCTGAGACTTTGCTGAAGTTGCTTATCAGCTTAAGGAGATTTTGGGCTGAGACGATGGGGTTTTCTAGATAAACAATCATGTCGTCTGCAAACAAGGACAATTTGACTTCCTCTTTTCCTAATTGAATACCCTTTATTTCCTTCTCCTGCCTGATTGCCCTGGCCAGAACTTCCAACACTATGTTGAATAGGAGCGGTGAGAGAGGGCATCCCTGTCTTGTGCCAGTTTTCAAAGGGAATGCTTCTAGTTTTTGCCCATTCAGTATGATATTGGCTGTGGGTTTGTCATAGATAGCTCTTATTATTTTGAAATACGTCCCATCAATACCTAATTTATTGAGAGTTTTTAGCATGAAGGGTTGTTGAATTTTGTCAAAGGCTTTTTCTGCATCTATTGAGATAATCATGTGGTTTTTGTCTTTGGCTCTGTTTATATGCTGGATTACATTTATTGATTTGCGTATATTGAACCAGCCTTGCATCCCAGGGATGAAGCCCACTTGATCATGGTGGATAAGCTTTTTGATGTGCTGCTGGATTCGGTTTGCCAGTATTTTATTGAGGATTTTTGCATCAATGTTCATCAAGGATATTGGTCTAAAATTCTCTTTTTTGGTTGTGTCTCTGCCCGGCTTTGGTATCAGAATGATGCTGGCCTCATAAAATGAGTTAGGGAGGATTCCCTCTTTTTCTATTGATTGGAATAGTTTCAGAAGGAATGGTACCAGTTCCTCCTTGTACCTCTGGTAGAATTCGGCTGTGAATCCATCTGGTCCTGGACTCTTTTTGGTTGGTAAACTATTGATTATTGCCACAATTTCAGAGCCTGTTATTGGTCTATTCAGAGATTCAACTTCTTCCTGGTTTAGTCTTGGGAGAGTGTATGTGTCGAGGAATGTATCCATTTCTTCTAGATTTTCTAGTTTATTTGCGTAGAGGTGTTTGTAGTATTCTCTGATGGTAGTTTGTATTTCTGTGGGATCGGTGGTGATATCCCCTTTATCATTTTTTATTGTGTCTATTTGATTCTTCTCTCTTTTTTTCTTTATTAGTCTTGCTAGCGGTCTATCAATTTTGTTGATCCTTTCAAAAAACCAGCTCCTGGATTCATTGATTTTTTGAAGGGTTTTTTGTGTCTCTATTTCCTTCAGTTCTGCTCTGATTTTAGTTATTTCTTGCCTTCTGCTAGCTTTTGAATGTGTTTGTTCTTGCTTTTCTAGTTCTTTTAATTGTGATGTTAGGGTGTCAATTTTGGATCTTTCCTGCTTTCTCTTGTAGGCATTTAGTGCTATAAATTTCCCTCTACACACTGCTTTGAATGCGTCCCAGAGATTCTGGTATGTGGTGTCTTTGTTCTCGTTGGTTTCAAAGAACATCTTTATTTCTGCCTTCATTTCATTATGTACCCAGTAGTCATTCAGGAGCAGGTTGTTCAGTTTCCATGTAGTTGAGCGGCTTTGAGTGAGATTCTTAATCCTGAGTTCTAGTTTGATTGCACTGTGGTCTGAGAGATAGTTTGTTATAATTTCTGTTCTTTTACATTTGCTGAGGAGAGCTTTACTTCCAACTATGTGCACCAACAACAGACAAACAGAGAGCCAAATCATGAGTGAACTCCCATTCACAATTGCTTCAAAGAGAATAAAATACCTAGGAATCCAACTTACAAGGGATGTGAAGGACCTCTTCAAGGAGAACTACAAACCACTGCTCAAGGAAATAAAAGAGGACACAAACAAATGGAAGAACATTCCATGCTCATGGGTAGGAAGAATCAATATCGTGAAAATGGCCATACTGCCCAAGGTAATTTACAGATTCAATGCCATCCCCATCAAGCTACCAATGACTTTCTTCACAGAATTGGAAAAAACTACTTTAAAGTTCATATGGAACCAAAAAAGAGCCCGCATCGCCAAGTCAATCCTAAGCCAAAAGAACAAAGCTGGAGGCATCACACTACCTGACTTCAAACTATACTACAAGGCTACAGTAACCAAAACAGCATGGTACTGGTACCAAAACAGAGATATAGATCAATGGAACAGAACAGAGCCCTCAGAAATAATGCCGCATATCTACAACTATCTGATCTTTGACAAACCTGACAAAAACAAGAAATGGGGAAAGGATTCCCTATTTAACAAATGGTGCTGGGAAAACTGGCTAGCCATATGTAGAAAGCTGAAACTGGATCCCTTCCTTACACCTTATACAAAAATCAATTCAAGATGGATTAAAGATTTAAACGTTAGACCTAAAACCATAAAAACCCTAGAAGAAAACCTAGGCATTACCATTCAGGACATAGGCGTGGGCAAGGACTTCATGTCCAAAACACCAAAAGCAATGGCAACAAAAGCCAAAATTGACAAATGGGATCTAATTAAACTAAAGAGCTTCTGCACAGCAAAAGAAACTACCATCAGAGTGAACAGGCAACCTACAACATGGGAGAAAATTTTCGCAACCTACTCATCTGACAAAGGGCTAATATCCAGAATCTACAATGAACTCAAACAAATTTACAAGAAAAAAACAAACAACCCCATCAAAAAGTGGGCGAAGGACATGAACAGACACTTCTCAAAAGAAGACATTTATGCAGCCAAAAAACACATGAAGAAATGCTCATCATCACTGGCCATCAGAGAAATGCAAATCAAAACCACTATGAGATATCATCTCACACCAGTTAGAATGGCAATCATTAAAAAGTCAGGAAACAACAGGTGCTGGAGAGGATGTGGAGAAATAGGAACACTTTTACACTGTTGGTGGGACTGTAAACTAGTTCAACCATTGTGGAAGTCAGTGTGGCGATTCCTCAGGGATCTAGAACTAGAAATACCATTTGACCCAGCCATCCCATTACTGGGTATATACCCAAAGGACTATAAATCATGCTGCTCTAAAGACACATGCACACGTATGTTTATTGCGGCACTATTCACAATAGCAAAGACTTGGAACCAACCCAAATGTCCAACAATGATAGACTGGATTAAGAAAATGTGGCACATATACACCATGGAATACTATGCAGCCATAAAAAATGATGAGTTCATGTCCTTTGTAGGGACATGGATGAAATTGGAAACCATCATTCTCAGTAAACTATCGCAAGAACAGAAAACCAAACACCGCATATTTTCACTCATAGGTGGGAATTGAACAATGAGATCACATGGACATAGGAAGGGGAATATCACACTCTGGGGACTGTGGTGGGGTCGGGGGAGGGGGGAGGGATAGCATTGGGAGATATACCTAATGCTAGATGACACGTTAGTGGGTGCAGCACCCCAGCATGGCACATGTATACATATGTAACTAACCTGCACAATGTGCACATGTACCCTAAAACTTAGAGTATAATAAAAAAAAAAACATTAAAAAAAAAAACTATTTTAAAATAAAAAGTTAGAGAGGAAAAAAAAAAAAAAAAAAAAAAACCTCTTTTCTTTAAAAACTTCCCAAACTCAGGTATTCCTTTATAGCAACACAAATGGACTAAGAAAGTCCATTCTTTCTTTTTTTAGGGCAATTTTGCTTACTGCAACTGTAACTAGCTTGTGGCCACTTTGATGGGTAAGAAGATACTTTAAAATCAAAGGAGAGCTCCTAAGGCTAAAGTAGTCATAATCCACAGCTTAGCCTTTCCAGAAGATCACAGATAAATATTAAACTATATGAATCATTTATAAAATCTCTCAAGTATGGGTTGGGGGTGAAGAGAAAAGACAAGAGAGAAGTTTAACCTAATTGTTGAGGAAACTATATGATTATTTGTGCAACCCTTTTCTTTTTTTGCAAAGTTCAAAGTTTCATTTAAAATATTTTTTATCTTTACAAATGTATGCAGTACTTGTGAAATTTTGTTAGATGTATATAATGCATAGTGATTAAGGGTACTTAGGGTGTTCCTCACCTGAGTAAAATATGCTTTTGTCTAACTACAGGCACCCTAATCTGCTATGAAACATAAAATTCATTCCTTCTATTAGGTTGATGCAAAAGTAATCGCAGTTTTTGCCATTACTTTTCTCCAACCGAATAACTATGTTTGTACTCGTCACATCTCTTTAGCCATCCCACTCACCCTTCCCAGTCTCTGTTCTCTCTCTTTCCACTCTCTACTTCCTTGTGATCAAATTTCTTATCTCCCACATGAGTGAGAACCTGTGAAATTTGTCTTTCTCTGCCTGGGTTGTTTTACTTAACACAATGACCACCAGTTCCACCCATGTTGCTGCAGATGATAGAATTTCATACTATACTAGCCAAATAGTATTCCATATTGTATATGTACCACACTTTAACCATTAATCCATTGATGGGCATTTAGGTTGATTTGCTATCTTTGTTATTGTGTATAGTGCTGCAATAAACCTGCAAATGCAGGTAGCCCTTAGAGAAATTCATTTCTTTTCCTTTGAGTAGATTCCTAGTAGTGGGATCCAAATTTAATTTAAATACATAAACAACAACTTAGGTTTCATTGTGGAATAATCTTTGTAACCCTTCTGATATTGAGCAATCAGATCAGATAAAGAACACTTTCCACAGTGGTGGCTGAATTAGGTGTGTTACAGGAAAACAGCTCAAAGAAAGCAAAAATGAGAATGGGAAAGTTGCCTGCAAAAGACAAAAGTCACCATTTTTTTTCTTCATTTAATGTATGCAAATTGAGCAGCTAACATGTGCAAAGTACTGGAATATATGTATGTGGACATAGATGTAATATATGCCAGGGAGAATACCAAAGTATAAAACTTCTCTCAGGTGCTCACACTTTGAGTGAAGATAAAACAGTTAACATACACATATAACTCTAATGCAAGGTAGAAAATATAAACATTCATTTAAATATCATTAAATCATTTTAAAGCACAAGTAAACGACCATGAGAATTTTGTTTCCCTGAAAGAAGAGTACTGCTAATGCAATACTCTAAAAAGGCAGAAAAAAATTAACTTCTATTATCATAAAAGCTCATCACAGATGTGCAAAGGAAAAGGGTATTACTAGCAATGATAAAAATAGAAAAAACTAGAGCTGGAGAAAAACATTGAAAAGTAGTGAAAAAGGCATTATTTTGATTATTTGAGTATATGAGTTTTAAATTAATGTATTTTGGCATAATGACTAAAATTAATGAAATTACTAATGCCTGACACTCCTTTGGTACGGTTCTTAAGATAATTGCAGTTGTGATTAAAAATGCCATAATAGCATTTCATGGAAGAGAGAAGAAAATTAATTAATCTAAGAATAAACAAAATATGCATTATAGAGCATCCTGTGTCTATGGTATGAAGGCAGTGTGTGTGTGTGTGTGTGTGTGTGTGTGTATATATACACACTCTCAAATAAATATACATAGATTAACATATATATATATATATATATACCATTTATGGCAGTTTTAGAGATGAAATTGCTAGGAGATTTTAATAATTATAGATGAGTTGTCCTACATTTGAAACCTGGAATCTACCAGCATGATTTATCTACCAATTTGCAATCACTTCAAAGAACACAGAATACAACACAGCAGATAATAATGGCTTTGTAAGTGTCAGATCCATTTAAGTGACTTCCATAAGGAAATGACTTAAACACATAGAAGAGAAACAAAAAATCTAAATCTGCAGTGTCATAATTAGGCCTTAGCTATTGCCCCACACATATTTCCATTCCATTCCATTCAGAGGATGTGGCTGGGTCACATGCTCATCAGCCTAATGCATCCAAAAGGTAACTTTGTTTTTATTTTTATCTTCTTAGAAGAAATAGTTCAGTGTTATGATTATTGATTTTAATTCCCTCTTGTTAAAAAAGAAAACTCTTAAGATAGTTTTCGCCTATTTTGCTGTAGGAAGTATTCATCTGGCTGCATGTCAAAGTGTTTAATGTATAGCTTCCATTGTCATGGTATTACATATCATCTATAATTCCACTTATGATTTCTCCTTTTATTTAATATTTACTTGGGTTTGGGAAAATTGCTGACTTGTATTATTAAAAATAGTTAATTTTTATTCTATTATTAGTAAACGTGGCTTGCATGATTTCTGTTTTTTTAGTATTTTATATTTGGCCCAGTATTGAACCCATTCTGTATTTACATGAACATTTGTTTCATGGATACTTGAAAAGATGATTTTTTTACTTGTATATGGATATATAAACTTTATTAATTAAATCACACCAGTCCTCTGCCTTCTTCTTTTTGCTATTTAAACATGAAAGATGTAGGGTTAGACTAAGTTCCTCCCCTAAACTCCCCCATGCCCCTTACATCAGGGTTAATCATGCAGATTCCAGTCAGGCTGCCTATTTTAAATCCTGGTTTCGTACTTACTAGCTGTGTCGCTTTGATGAAATTAGTTAATGTCTAAATATTAGAATCTCCATTTGAAAAATGAAGATAATAATCCCCTACTTCATAAGCACAGCTTTAGATTAAGAGATAATGCACATACAGCAATTGGCCCAGCATCTGGTACATAATATGCTCAATAAACATTAGTTTTAGTATTATTGGTGGTATGATCATCATGCCCCATTCATTTCTAACATTTTATTATTTTGTTAATTTTCTCTTCCCTTTTACTGATATGTACTTGCAGAGAGACAGAATGATTGGCCTTTGATGAAACTGATGAGCCCACTTTCTCTACAAAGCATGGCGGCATGGCTGCCAGTGATTCCAAAGCACCAGTTTTTCAGACTAAGCTACCAGATCAATGATTCCCAAAGAGTAGCTCTCTCTCACGTTACATGAAGACCACCTGGAGAACTTTTTAAAAATAATTTCTGCTCTAGAATTTCTGATTTGATGGAGAGAATGCTGGAGACAAGTATTTTAAGTAACAGAAATGGTGATGGTAGTTGTCCATGAATGTAAGACAGGTCCAGGAGAGAGAGAAGTGGCCTGAGCCCAGCCACATCCAACAATAAACATTCCTGTGCTGGTGCCCATCCACCCAGGGAATGGAGGTAGGAAGGAGGCCTTGCATTGCATGGCACATTTTCTGTGTTCTGGCAAAGGCAGTTCTTTAGCAGGAAAGAAAGGCATACCCAAAAGTAATTTTACCTGTATGACAGCGCTGCAGAACCATTAAGGTGACAGAATTACTCAAGGAAGGTGATGACTACAAGGAAGACCTCACAGAGTGGTGACTCATCTCTAAAGAAGGAATAGGAGTCCACCACAGCAGAAAAAAAAGGGGTAGGGGCATATACAGAGAAAGAAAAAAATATTGGAATGTGCATTAGTCAGTGGGTAGAATACAAGTGTCCTAATTTATAAATAGGATGAATACAAACTGGTAGGTTGGTAATAAATTGGAAGTATGCATACCAGCAATTTAAACTTGGGATAGTTGCATAACCTGTTTCTCTATTTACTCATTTTTTGACTAGACATAATGTAATATTCACCTGAAAAAGGTCAGTGGAATACAGAGTGAGTTCACATAAAGCATTTAGTCCACAGCACGCACTGAAGAAAGATTAGGTTCTACTACGATATTACTTTTGTTTTTGTTGTTTTATCTTGAATTTGTTTAGAGAGTTAGCTTTAGTTTAGAGAATACAAAATTAGCAAGTAACTTCTTAAAATGATGATATACAGCGTCATTGTGGGTGAAGAGGACACTAGCATTGCTGATAGACATGCAACTGCTAAGGAAGAAACATAAAATATACCTATCAAGAGCCTTAAACCTTAATGTTTATTAATTTTAGCCCACCAATTATATTTATGGGCAACTGCCCTATGTAAATATTCTGCAATATGTAGAAAAAACTAATTATGCACAAAAATGTTCATTGCAGTATCATTTGTGATACCAAGAAAATGGAGAATAAAAAGATGTATCAGGCAGCTTTAAAAAATGATTTTTACCCTGCATTTATAATAACAGAAAATAGGCTGGGTGCAGTGGCTCATGCCTATAATCCCAGCATTTTGGGAAGCCAAGGCAGGCAGATCACTTGAGGTCAGGGGTTCGAGACCAGCCTGGCCAAAAAGGTGAAACTCCCATCTCTACTAAAAATACAAAAGTTAGCTGGGCGTGGTGGCAGGTGCATGTAATCCCAGCAACTCTGGAGGCTGATGCAGGAGAATGGCTTGAACCCAGGAGGAGGAGGTTGAAGTGAGCCGAGATCACACCACTGCACTCCAGCCTGGGTGACAGAGGTGAACCCCTGTCTCACAACCCTCAGCTCTTTATATGACAGATGACAAAAACAATCGTGACCTGGAATGTATCCCAAGCAGTCCTTAAAGCCAGCAGGGATATTTGCCAGTGCAGAGCAGTCTTGTGGAAGGAAAACACTCCCTGATTCATTGAAACTTCCTAAATGTGATGACACAAGCCAAGTCCCTCCTTTTCACTACTATTATCTATTTTTTTTAATAATTTAAGTTCTGGGATACATGTGCAGAACGTGCAGTTTTGTTACATAGTGATACACGTGCCATGGTGGTTTGCTGCACCCATTAATCCATCATCTATATTAGGTGTTTCTCCTAATGCTATCCCTCTTCTAGCCCCCCAACCCCCACAGGCTCCAGTGTGTGATGTTCCCCTCCTTGTGTCCATGTGTTCTCATTGTTCACCTCCCACTTATGAGTGAGAACATGTGGTGTTTGGTTTTCTGTTCCTGTGTTAGTTTGCTGAGAATGATGGTTTCCAGCTTCATCTATGTCCCTGCAAAGGACATGAACTCATCCTTTTTTATGGCAGCATAGTATTCCATGGTGTATATGTGCCACATTTTCTTCATCCAGTCTATCATTGATGGGCATTTAGGTTGGTTCCAATTCTTTGCTATTGTGAACAGTGCAACAAGAAACATACGTGTGCATGTGTCTTTATAGAATGATTTATAATCCTTTGGGTATATACCCAGTAATGGGATTGCTGGGTCAAAGGGTATTTCTGGTTCTAGATACTTGAGGAATTGCCATACTGTCTTCCACAATGGGTGAACTAATTTACACTCCCACCAACAGTATAAAAGCATTCCTATTTCTCCACATTCTCTCCAGCATCTGTTGTTTCCTGACTTTTTAACAATCGCCATTCTAACTGGCATGAGGTAGCATCTCATTGTGGTTTTGATTTGCATTTATCTAATGACCAGTGATGATGGGCTTTTGTTCATGTTTGTTGGCTGCATAAATGTCTTCTTTTGAGAAGTGTCTATTCATATCTTTCACCCACTTTTTGATGGTTTTTTTTCTTGTAAATTTGTTTAAGTTCCTTGTAGATTCTGGATATCAGCCCTTTGTCAGACGGATAGATTACAAACATTTTCTCCCATACTGTAGTTTGCCTATTCACTCTGATAAGTTTCTTTTGCTGTGCAGAAGCTCCTTAGTTTAATTAGATCTCATTTATCAATATTAGCTTTTGTTGCCATTGCTTTTGGTGTTTTAGTCATGAAGTCTTTGCCCATGCCTATGTCCTGAATGGTATTGCCTAGGTTTTCTTCTAGGGTTTTTATGGTTTTAGGTCTTCCTGTGTAGCCAAGACAATCCTAAGAAAAAGAACAAAGCTGGCGGTATCATGCTACCTGACTTCAAACTATACTACAAGCCTATAGTAACGAAAACAGCATGGTACTGGTACCAAAACAGATATATAGACCAATGGAACTGAACAGAGGTCTCAGAAATCTACAACCTACACATCTACACATCTACAACCCCAACCCCTTCCATCTTTCTCCTTTTAACTCTCTTGCAAACTCACATGCCACCTTTGTGCCGTCAGCCTCTCCCCAACTCTTGATGGTAATATTCCTGAACTATTTTCATGCCAGTCATAGCCTCACTCTCCTCCAGAAACCAGACGTCAAAAATCAAATTTTATTCAGTACTCTGTCATGGACAAAAGAGCTTTCTCAGTCTTACTGGCACAAAAGAACTTGGTTGTCTTTTTTAATCCCTATTAGTATTTATAATAGAATTATAGTTGTTTAGTTTATTGTGAACAAATTTCCTAAGGAAAATTACTCTAGTGTTGATTTAATGCATATACTATTTAATTATTGACACTATATATTTTATAGCCAACAAAACATTTTTTCCCAATAAAAATAGCATTTAATAAGGGAAGTGAAGTAATAAAATATTTTTTCTCTCCAAGAAAATTCCATATCTATACCCAATAGCTATATTTAAAAGGCTAATTTCAGAATTCATGAAATTTTGAAAATGATGAAAGTTACCCAATAAACATCAAGGAATAATGTTATAAATCTTTTTAAGAAAATCCTTAATTGTCAAACATTGGAAAGTAAATCTAAAGTGTATGCTTTATTATTTCCAAGTTGGTTGTTTTCCATGATCTTGAGAATTTGGAAACCTGACATTGTTATGGTTGAATTCACAGCAATGAATTCAATGGCAAGTTTGTAAGTGTTCATAAAAAAGGAAAACGGCAATGTTAATATCTTTGAGATACAAGGCCTAAGAAGAAGCTTTTCACACATGCATTGGTTGTAATATTCTGTTGCAAAATTCTATAAAGCTTCCTATATTATTGATTTTAGTAACAGCTTTGTTTTCTTATTCTTAAACCTTTTTTGTTTTTATTGTTTCCATTCTATTCTGGTAGATATTTATGACAATATGAAGAGGTAAGCCACCATCTTTCTCAGTTGCTATAGTTTTTCAACTTTCTGAAACAAATATCCTGTTATTCCACATACTTAAACCTGAATAGCTACTTTGCATCATTCTGTTATTGGTCCCAAGTTAGGACCAAGTACTAATTTCCTCCAGTGGAACTTCTCACATTATCAGTTTCACATTGTAAACCCTAAAGAGGAGACGTGCCACCCAATTTGGTTCTAGCTTAAAATCTACACCCTGGAAGAGACCCCAAAATACTGAAAAGGAGCAAGCATTGATGAGTAGTTTTACACCCAGAAGACATAAGCCATGACCATCCCAGCAGTTTCAAGAACAAAAACAAGAGGCTCTTCAAGGTAGAGCTACCTTCCCATGCTAGTTCAAGGCGAGGGCTTCAAACTTTCCACACCAAGCAGTGTAAATAATCAGTGGTTCCCATTCTCACCTTGGAAGAACGCATCAAGGGGTCATAGCCAGTTTTTCCCTATGTATGTTCTTTTCCAGGTTCACATTATACTTTACTTTTATATCAAGGTATAATTCACATACCATAAAATTCATTCTTTGTAATTTTACAGCTCAATGCCTTTAGCAAATATGTAGACTTGTGCAACTCTCACCACAATCCAGGCTTATAACTTTGCCATCACCCCCCAAAATTCCCTCAAGCATGTTTGCTTTTAAACTGTTCTCACCCCCAGTCCCAGGCAACCTATATTTTTGTTGTCTCTATAAATTATTTTTCTGGATATTTTTAAAAAATGGAATCATAAAATATAGAGTCTTTTGTGCCTAGAATAAAGGTTTTGGGTTTTATTCATATTGCAGTATACATCAGTATACTGGTGATCAGTATTCAGTTCCTTTTAATTACTGAATAGTCTTCTGCTATATGGATATATCACATTTCATCTTGTCTGTCTACTAATTTATAAACATGTGGGTTATCTTCCATTTTTGGCTCTTAGAGATAATGCTGCTATGAGCAGTAGTGTACAATCTGCATGAAGACATAATTTTCATTTTTCTTGGGTAGATTCTTAATAGAGCAGCTGGGTCATATGGTCAGTTTTATTTAACTCTTTAAGAAAGCACCAAACTTTTCCTAGGTTGTTGTTCCATTTTACATTTCCAACAGTTTCTCCATCTTTGAAGCTTCCTAAATATCATGCTACACACCAGGTGCCAGACTCTTGCTTCTGTCTCTACCAGCCTCTTTAACCATTACCTTAATTTTTCCCCTTTCAGTTCCAACCCTTTGCCAACATTTGGTGGTAACTGTCTTTTCATGACGGTCATCCTAGTGTGTTTAAAGCGGTATCTCACTGTGTTTCTTATTAACTAATGGTGCTGAACACGTTTTCAAGTGCTCATTAGTAATTCATATTTTTAAAAATAATTTCTTATTTCATTTTTAGCTATTTACTTTTTAGAGATAGGGTCTCACCACCATGTTGCACAGGCTGGTCTATTTTATGTTTTTCAGAGACAGGGTCTCACTCTGTCATGAGGCTGGAGTGCAGTGGGGCAATCAGAGCTCACTGCAGCCTCAAACTGCTGGGCTCAGGAGATTCTCCTGCCTCAGCCTCCCAAGTAGCTGGGCCTATAGGAGTGCACCACCATGTCCTGCTCCCATGTTTTTGATGAAATGTTTACTCAAACCTTTTGTTCATACTGTTCACTAGATTTTTCTTATTAAATTGTAAGAGTTATGTTTCATGAATACAAATTCCCTATTACATAAAGGGTTTGTAAATATCTTTTCTCAGCTGTATCTTTCATTTTCTTAAAGGTATCTCTTGAAGCACAGAAGTTGCTAATTTTAATATAGTTCAATCATCTGGTTTTTTTTTTTTTTTTGATGACTAATAGTATCATCTCTAAGAACCTGTTGCCTAGGCCAAGGTCACAAATATTTTCTCCCACATTTTTTCCTAAAAGTCTTATAGTTTGAGCACCGACATCTACATGTATAACTCATTTTGAGGCTTTTTTTTTGTATGTGTAAATGTAATGGTCAATACAGAGTGTCAATTTGGATTGAAGGACGCAATATTGATCCTGGGTGTGTCTGTGAGGGTGTTGCCAAATGAGATTAACATTTGAGTCAGTGGACTGGGGGAGGCAGACCCACCCTTAATCCAGTGGGCACCATCCAATTAGCCACCAGCAAATATAAAGCAAGCAAAAAATGTGGAGAGGTGGGCCTAGCATCTCAGTCTACATCTTTCTCCCATGTTGGATGCTTTCTGCCCTCGAACATTGCACTCCCAGTTCTTCAGTTTTGGTACTCGGACTGGCTTTCCCTGCTCCGCAGCTTGCAGACAGCCCATTATGGTACCTTGTGATCGTGTAAGTTAATACTTAATAAACTCCTCTCTCTCTCTCTCTCTCTGTGTATATATACATATATATATGTATATATACACATATATATATGTATATATATACATATATATATGTATATACACACACACACACACACACACACACACACACATATATCTCCTATCAGTTCTGTCCCTCTAAGAAAACCCTGACTAATACAGTAAGCAAAAGGTCTAACTTCATCTTTTGCATATGTGGATAGCCAATTGTCATAGCACCATTTCATTTCTGTTATCTTGGCATCTTTGTAAAGAATCACTTGGTCATACATGTAAGGATATATCCCTGAACTTTCATTTTTTTCCTTTGATCTCTATGTCTATCTTTACGTGATACCACATTGTTTTAAGTACTGAAGATTTATAGTACATTTTAAAGCTGTGTAGTGTAAGTCCTCTAACTTTATTCTTCATTTTAAAAGTTGTTTTGCATTAAAGTATATATTAAGAGATCTGCAGTAGCTATATTATGGCTACTGTTTGCATGGTATATCTTTCTCCATTTATTTACTTTAGCCTATTTGTTTCTTTGAATCTAAGGTCCATTTATTGTAGGTAGCATTACACTAGATCTTGATTTTTTATATATAGTCTGACAATCTACATTTTGAGTGGAGTGTTTTTAATACAGCTTTCTCAATCTTTAAAGGATAAGAGTTTTCCATTGGTCTTAGGAACCAAAATATTGGTGCAACTCCAAATAAAAGTAGTAAATGTATACTCCTTCCTTACTTCAACAGCCCTAATTCCACTAATTATACCTATCACTATCACCTTAACAGACACTTACTCATTATTCCATTTACATTTAGTGTAATTGTTGGTATGGTTGGATTTGCAATTACCATTTTGATTTGTCTGTGTCTTTTGTTCCTGTTTCTCCTTTATAACTTATTTCATGTTACTTCAATATTTTTAGTATATTATTTCTCTGTTGAGTTTTTCCCTATATTTCTCGAACTACCTTTTAGTGGTTGATCTACGGTTTATAATACGCATCTTAACATAGTACAGTCTACTTCAAAATTATGCTAACTCAATACAGTAAACTTTAATATACACATCTTTTCCTTTCTCTTCTTTTGTGCTGTCTTATTGAACAGCTTTCTGGAAAGAACATCCGTATATGCTATGTACTCAGCAATAATATTAATTTTCTATTAACCTTCTATCTTTTAAAGAGACTAAGAACAACTTTAATAACACACCAATGAATGAACTTCCTCTGGCGCTGTGAGCAAAGATCCTGGTCTTCCTGGCTTGCCATGCCCTGGTCCATCTGCCAGGCCCACAGGGTTGGGGTAGGGAGAGGAGGGGTAGAAACTGCTTAGACGAAAACACCATGACTCATGCCGATTTTACTTGAAGTTCAGTAGCTTTTGTGAATAAATGCTTCTTGGATTTTTAAGCCTTGGGTCAATTTCTGCAGCACTCAAAAGGCTGGTATTAAACAGTTTTATCCAGATTTTTACTGCTTTTGGGGTAAAGGATTTATTGACCTCCTCACTACATCATGCTAGAAATGAATCTTGCTACTGTTTGTACTTTTAAAAAGCAAAAACTCAGGTGAGTTGGAGGAGAAACTAAATTGGAAGCCAAAAAAAAAAAAACCAGAAACAGGAGAGAAAATCTTATAGCTTTGTTACACACTATGACCGGCTTCTGAAGATTTGACAGGACTTTAAACTAGATGTCTTTTACCACTGTGAAATTTGAAACCAATCCAAGTTAATACATTAATCAGAAAGAGTACTTTTTTAGTTAGAAAAGAATATATAAGCCTTGCAACAATTCTTATGGATGCAGTAAAATATAGGGAAAAAAAATCATGATGTGGAGTACTCGGCCATCAGAGTCACTTTGGACAATTTAGTTAACCTCAGGCTACTTCAGTTTACCCATTAGAAAAAAGGATGATAATATTTAGCTCAAAAAGACATTGGAAGGGGCTAAATACAATGACAGTTATGAAAATGACTAGCTCGGTATCAAGTAATATTTGAATATATATTTATTTCCTATTCTATTTTTTATCCAGCCTTTCAGGAACTCAATGTTTTTCTGCTTAACCTGACCTCTAGGAAAGGGTTTACTTTAAGTCATTTACACAGTGTAAATAAATGTATCACTTTTACTTGGGACTTTCTCTTTTTACACCGAAGGTCTGATTTAGGAATCAGAACATTGATTACGTAGGGAAGTTTGTCTCTTTAAAAAATTCAGGCGTCATTAAAAGTATAAATTTGTTTTGCTTTGATTTGAAACTCTTTTTAAAAAAAACTTCTATAAATTGCATCAAGGTGAGCAAGCCTATGTGGTTGAACCAAACAAAATTCATATTATTTTACCATTTTGATCTACAAATATGGCAATTTCATAGGGTTCAACTTAATGTGTTGGAAGTAGAACTGAATTAGGAGTCAGGACAGGGAGCATTATTTTACCACTAACCAGCTGTCTGAAAAGAACAGAATCATAAGCTAGCTCTGTGATTCCTGAAGCCCTTTTTTTCTTTTCTTTTTTTTTTGAGACAGAGTCCTACTTTGTTACCAGGCTGGAGTGCAGCAGCATGATCTCGGCTCACTGCAACCTTCACCTCCTGAGTTCAAGTGATTCTCCTGCCTCGGCGTCCCGAGTAGCTGGGATTACAAGTGTGCACCACCACCTAGCCTGGATAATTTTTTATTTTCCTTTTTTTTTTTTTTTTTTTTTAAGTGGAGATGGGGTTTCACCATGTTGGTCAGGCTGGTTCGGAACTCCTGGCCTCAAATGATCCACCCACCTCAGCTTTCCAAAATGCTGGGATTACAGGCATAACCTGAAGCCCTTCCTAAGGAGTAGAGTGATTCTCATCTGCTCTCGACATAAGTATGTACCTCTAATCCTGAGCCCAGTCCACTTTCTAATACCATTTGAAGTGTCAGCAAAGATCAGTAGTCAACCCCTCAGAGTGGTGTAGGGAATTTCCAGTGTCCCGTAGAGTGACCCATGTTTGAGACATTTCTTAGTTAGGGAAAGGTATCAGCACTGACTTGCCATTGCCCAGAAATTCTTCCAGTTTTCTGGGCTTCATAGCTACAACAGACTTTCAGAGGAATTTGCATAATTTTCCCTCAAACAAGCATATGATTGATGATTGGATAAGTATAGAAAATTTTTTTCAAGAATAGTTTTTCCAATTTGGAAAAACCTATTTCAAATAAAAAAAATATTGCTCATGGTATCATTATCCAAAGAAAACCACTCTTTTCACTTTAGCATACTTTCTAAGATTTCTACATATGTTTTACAAAATTGTAATAATGTTAATAAAATCTGCCCCCAGTTTTCTTGCATAATGCCTTGGCATCACCATCTTTCCCTGTTATTGCAAAAAAAATTACATGGCTGTATATTGTTTCATCATTTGAAAAGCCCTACTTATTTTAATAATTTCCTATATTAGCATATTTAGATGCTTAGAGTCTTTCCTTTTTTTATACCATACATAATACTATGGTGTGACATTGTGAAATACATATTTGATCTCCATCTCCATAATACTATGGTGTGACACTGTGAAATATATATATTTGATCTTTATCTCCAGTTCCTGACACATGGCTCTTTGGAATCTCCTGTTAGGAGTGTTTTCTGTATGCTAATGAGATGACTAATAGCTGGGAGACCCTAGATAGCTTCAGGATGGAGGCTGGTCACTAGAAAGACCACAGCATGATTAGAGAACTGGGACTTTCAGCCTCATCCCCTTGACCTCCAGGGAGAGAAGTGCTAATGGTTAAATTAATTACCAGTGATCAATGTTGTAATCAATCTTGCCTTGGTAATGAAGCCTCTATAAAAAAGCAAAAGCACTGGGTTCTGAGAGCTTCTGGATAGCTGAACACATGGAGACTCCTAAAGGGTGATGCACCTGCAGAGAGACCCAGGAGTTCTGTGCCCCTTCCTCCATACCTTAACGTATCCATCTCTTCATCTGGCATCCATCTGCATCCCTTGTAAAATCCTTTATAAGTCGGTTAACGTAAGTAAGGCACTTCCCTGCATTCTACCAGTCACTTTAGCAAATTAATTGAATCCAAGGAGTGAGTGATGGGAGCCCCAGTTTATAGCCAGCTGGTCAGTCAGAAGTATAGGTGACAACCTACTACTTGTAACTAGCATCTTTGCCTTTAACGTGTTGGATCTGACACTATCTTCAGGCAGATAGCATCAGAATTAAATTGAATTATAGAACATCCAGTTGGTTGGTGTGAGGAGAAAACCCCCCCACACATCTGGTCACAGAAGCATTCTGTGTCATATGAGTGGCTGTGTAAGCGAGTAGGGAAAAAAAATCAGTTCAGGTTTACCTATCTCTCATTGCACACTCATTTTAGTGTCAGAAGTGTTGAGTGGTGTGTGAGCTAGACTAGGAAAGAGACTGTACTGTTTCCTGTATCTTAAGATATGGTAAATATCCTTTAGTATAATTTTATTTTTTTGTCCTATTTAGAATTGTTATGTTCAGCTAGATTCCTCAAAATAGATAAAAATATATGAAAAATTATAAATTAAATAAATATTTGTTGAGTCTAAGGTGCACAAGGCAGGCTGCTACAAGCTAAGATAAATGACATTGAGTCTAGAATAAATTATTCGTAATACTGGAGACATTCTCTCAATCATTAGAAAAGATGGGTGGGAGTTGTGGGGACCCTGTGTGTGTGAAGTAAATCACACGAATGGCTATTGTTTAGTCTTCATTGGCTGTCATCAGAGATAGTTATATTAATTTGGTATCAGAGAAAGGAGTAAGGGCTTTTCAATCTTAAAACTTAGGGAGTAACGCAGATTAGTTAATTCATAATCTAAACAAGTGGTGCATGACATAAAACAATCAAAACCAGAAATATCTCCAAAGCCTGTAATCAGTTTTATATCATTCAGTTCACACCATAGGGTGCATTAATGTAAAAAGACCAGGGCCGGGAAATAGCATCATTAGTATGTAGCAGCAATTCCCTTGTTAATGATTCAAAGCTCATTTTTCTCTTGCAGGCAAGATTCATGCTATAGTTCTACTGTGTTAATCCCTTCCCTAGACTGAGGTTATCTAGAGAGGAAACGTGATGTTGTCACGCCGTTTTAAGGATGGGAGGACAGCTCCACTGTGAAATACAGGATCTCCAAGCTCCCTGTCCGAGTTCCTCCCTTTCTCAGGCCACCATGTGAGCCTCTGTAATGCCTGGCTTCCATAGTGGATTCTCTGCCCTACCTGGACTCTGTTTGCATCATCACTTTACCTTTTCAAACTTTTTGTCTACCTTCTCCCATATGCAACAAAAACGATCACTTCTGCTTCTTAGGCCATCATTCTAAAAAGGCAGAGATAGTATCGGTCTCATTCATGGTGTGTATCAAAAATCTAGACAGTGAATGGCACACAGTAAGTATTCCATAAAGGATTATTGAATTTAAAAAAAAAGAAATGTGTCCACTTCCTTCAGGGGTTTACCCTCTGATAATGCATACTGAAAACTTATTCATGCCTTGGGATACCCTTCCTAGGTAACAATAGCATTTTACCCAAGCTCTTCTGAACCTTAACCCAAAGGGGCAAGAAGGGTGGGAGTTCAGGTACTGTAAAGGTAACATAAGAGATACTGGAAGGGAGAAATGAGATGAGTGATTTGCCCCTTGGCTCAGCTTCATGCCCTACAAATCCCGTCATTCCTCTTCTCAAAACTCAATGGCATTCTGTTACCTGCAAGAGCCTATCTGCTTACACAGGTTTCCAGACCTCTGTCTCTGCAGTGCAGGGGAACAAGAAGGCTCCTTGGAAGCAGGATAGAGCTGGGTTCAAATCTGAATTCTACTTAACAATGTTGCAACTTTGAACAAATCACTTAAGCTTAGGAAAACTCAGTTCTCATCTAGAAAATGGGGGGGGGGGGGAAATAAGCATTTGGCAGGATGTCATAGGGACAATAAGACACTGTAATGCAGAGACTGAGACATCATTTCCTACCCCAGCCCTCTAACTGCCTACACTGCAACCTTGCTGAATTATCTGTGGTTTTTCATTTCCACATTGATATTTACCAATTTCATTTACTTCCACATGTTGCTTCTTTAAGTTGGTTGCCCATCTTTGCTCCTCATCATTTTTATTTATTGATTCATTTAACACTTATCTATGGACTGCCTGCCACATACCAGTCATATGCAACACAGTGATGTCTGCTCTCAGAAAGCTGAGACTCCAACATTGGATACAAAATTACAAAATGGCAGGAGAAACAGTCTTGCTCAAGTTTTGCTCCAGCCTCAAACCCACCTAGCTATATCTGATAGAACTGAGTTTTTTCCATAAAAGTGTTTATTTTTATAATTATGAATGGATGTTTATTGTAGAAAATTTTAAAGAGACACAAACATATAAAGAGGAAAATAAACATCACTTACGATTCTACCATCAAAGAATACTCATTAATATTCTTTATGAAGTATCATAATACCATATTTTCCATGCATATTTAATATATAAGATTGAGAGTACATGTTTACTTTTTTAATATTAAAATATTAGATAGTAAAATATTTTACATTAAAAATGTAATATAGTTTGATCATTTATTCCCATCTCATTAGAATTCTTGGCAAATATGTCAGTTAATGACTTTATCATATTTTTTAGTATCATTCTTCAGTTGCTAGGCATATAGCGAAGGTTTCTACAAGAGCGATTAAATTTTAATATAATTGAGTCCTTTTTCCACGTATTATCTGGTGCACAGTTAAGTTCTCAAAATTATGCTAAGTGTCCTTCAATTCCCTGACTGTGTTTTCCCATGTAATATGATGAACCAGTAATTCTTTCCAGCAGAAACTGCCTCTTCATTTAGAGTAAAAAATGAATCAGTTACTATACCCAGGAAGGTGGTAACTATTCACTAGATTAAATCATAAAGAAGCTTGCATTTGCTTTTTATTTTAATGCTTAAATAACAACTATTTACTTTTCAGATAACAAAGATAGTTTAGAATTATCGATATAAATAAGTCCAGTGATTCTTCCAAAACTTCTCTTTACCAGGAGTAAAAACATTGTAAACTTTTATTTCAAAAACTAAGCTATTGCTCTTACTTAACTTCCTTCCCTCTCACAACAATAACAATCCTATATGTATATATAAAATCATTATCCCTGAAGTCATTAGAAGATAAGGTAATATATTAGTGTGTTTGTGAATCTCAGTAGGATGAAATTCTTAATAAGAAGAGACAAATCTATTTCTTGTTTACCTTCAAGTTTTATTAGTGTTACAATGTTTACAAAAGATTTTGTTTTCAGTGTGATAATTGGTACTGGTTTACATTTTTTTTTCTTTTCAACTTATTTTAGGTTCAGGGGGTACATGTGTAGGTTTGTTATATGGGTAAATTCTGTGTCACAGAGGTTTGGTGTACATATTATTTTGTTACTCACTTAATGAGCATAGGTACCCAATAGGTACCTATCCTTCTCCACTCTCCAATCTCAAGTAGGCCCTAGTGTCTACTGTTCCCTTCTTTGTGTCCACGTGTACTCAATGTTCAGCTCCTGCTTATAAGTGAGAAAATGTGGGATTTGGTTTTCTGCTCCTGTGTTAGTTGGCTTAGGATAATGACTTCCAGCTCCATCCATGTTGCTGCAAAGGATATGATTTTGTTCTTTTTATGGCTGTGCAGTGGTCCATGGTGTGTATGAACCACATTTTCTTTACCTAGTCTAACCACTGATGGGCATTTGGGTTGCTTCCATGTCTCTGCTATCGGAAATAGTGCTGTGATGTACATGTGTCTTTATGGTAGAACGATTTCTATTCCTTTAGGTATATACCCAGTAACGGGATTGTTGTTTCAAATGGTAGTTCTGTTTTAAGTTCTTAAACTTGAGATATCACATGCATTCCTAAAATGGTCAAATAAGAACTGAAGTCTTCTCAATCTTAGGCATCCTATCTTCCATGTATTTGTTACATTTTCTTTCTTTATAATCCTAAGATATAATAAATTGTGTTACTTTGGCTCAGTCTCAAAACAAGATTCTCTTAAATTATATAATGCATAATCTTTGCTTTCAAAATTTAAACAGTGGACTGTTAGTAACTATGCTTACATGGCAGAGCCAGGTTAATTGTGATTATTTGTCAGTTCTTTTGGACAGAGTCGCCACGAAACCTTGAAAATCGACAATTCTATACGACTGTGGACACATACTGCCCATGAGACACCGATACAAGAACAGCAACAACAAACAGCTTATATTTTCTGCTGGCTTTTTTCAATATCTCCAAGACATTCACCATTCTGGTTATAGTTGTGTTGTCCCAGGAGGAAACACTGAGTCAGAAATTTAGGTGCAGTAATTTATTGAGGGAGAGCTTCCAGAAGAAATCAAAAAGGGAGCCAGAAAAGCAGAGTAAGGAAAGATGAAACCAAACAAGGTGTGATCCTGAAACTCCAGCCTCAGCCTGCTCTCACAGAGACCACTAGCATAAATTCAACCCTGGAGTTTGCTGTTCCAGGAGCTGGGTTATTTTACTCCCGTGACATTCAGTCATTGGCTATGAACCAACACAAAGTGGAAAGGGAATCTGAAAGCAAACTCCCACAGAGCAATGTTCTGGAAGTTGCAAATAGATACCATTAGCTATTAGCCATTAGCAGCAAGGACCGGGGCATAGGACCACAGTGCTGAAAAGAGATCAGAGGAGCTTTGGGCAAAACCCAACAGTGCCTGATACACATTCTAAACCAGCGACTGCTACTGCTTCTGTCTGGTTCTCTACGGGTAGAGATAGTTCATCCATAATCAATCTGTACTCTCCACAGGTGTCTTAGTCTGTTTTTTGTTGCCATAACAGAATACCACAGACTGGTTAATTTACAAACAGAGATTTATTTGACACATGGTTCTAGAGGTTGAGAAGTCCAAGAGCATGGCACTGGCATCTGGCAAGGGCCTCTATGCTGTGTCAATCATGGTGGAAGGTTGGAGGGTAAGGGAGGGAGACAGTGAGAAAGCAAGAGAGGGCCAAACTTTTACAAAAACTCACTCATGCTAACAAACCCACTCCTATGATAACATTAATCCATTCATGAACACAGACCTCCTGGCCTAATCACTTCTTACTAGGCTACCCCATCTCCCAACATGGTTGCATTGGGGATTAGATCTCCGGCACATGAACTTTGGGGAACACATTGAAACCATAGCAGCAAGAGTCAGCTCCTTCTACAGAATCAAATACTATCTAACTGACAGGAACCCAAATTCTCTCCAATTATTCTGGAAATCTCCATTATGTGATGACTCAGAGTTGGTATGTCTCATTACAAACATGTTGAATTGCAGGACATCTTTCCAAAAAATGGTCCTACTAATAACCTTAAATAAGTCAGTAGAAGATGCTCCAACCATAGGGAGGTTAAGAGGTCCTGATAAGAGTGCCTGAGATTTCAACAAGTGACATGACCATCTCCTGGAGTTTAATTTGGTCCTAAGAACTCTGAGTGAGGAAATCACTGACACATACTCCCACAGTAGGGGTTATCTTTTAACTCAACATTGGCATCCTTTCAAAACTTCTTAGATAAAAGTGAGATGTGTCTTCCCAAAGAATCTCACACCCTCATGGCTTCCAAGTACAAACTGTATAAACATGAACCACCACTCAGTATCATAACTGCACACAAAGTAACACCACCCTGGAACTAGAAAGTAATAGAAAAGCAAATCAAGCCTTTAGACAGGTCAAAAAGGAATCATAATTTATGCACACTCATGAAGATCTTCTTAAAATTATCTTTTTTTCCATTTTGCTATTTTTTTCTTCTCTCATACGTTGGCAGGAACCCCAAATTTCCTCTTCTTCATCCCAAACTCCAATTAAAAAAGCAAATCATGTCTCACAAACTAAAACCTGGAAAAGCTCTCTTTATATCTCACTCCCCCCTCTCTCTGTCTCTCTCTCTCTCTCTCTCTCTATTGTGGTAAGAACACTAAACATGAGCTCTACTGTCTTTATTTTCAATATATTGATAATGCTGTATTTATCATACAATGTTGTTAAATGTAGGCACAATGTTGTATGGCAGATTTCTATAACTCAATTATCTTGTACAACTGAAACTTTATACCCACTGAATAGCAACTCCCCATTTACCCCTGTCCCCCAGCTGCTGGCAACAACCATTCTGCTCTCTGCTTCTATGGGTTTGCCTGTTTTCTATATCTCATGTAAGTCACACCAGTTCTCTTACTAAATTTAGTAGCTGTTTTCCTTCAGCTCTCTTCTCTAGCTCCTCAAATGCTCTCCCTCACTTATTGTCTTGATAGGTATTACAAGGCTTCAGTAGTTGACAAAGCAAGGCAGAGTGCTCTTTATGTCACTGGAGAAAAATAAGATGGTACAAGAATGCTGTAAAGTGATGGGGCAAGAGAGGTAGTGTGAACAGTCCTGCCTTGTCTTGCCACCCACCTGGATTGCCCCTTAATGCATTCTCATGAGCCACCAGGGCACTCCACAGTGGAGACACTCAGAGATGCAGGAGGCACTCTTGGTTGCATACCAATTCGAAATTAAACGAAGCCTAAGGATACCTCCTACAAAAGGAGCCCATGTGACAGAGCTGCTGTATTCCTTCACTAACATTAACTCACCCAGCTCTGATTTACTCTTTTTAAAACCTTCTTTAAAGGTAAGTAAGGTGAACCATTACAATATAGTGTTACCTCAGGGCCTCTCAGTAAGGCCCCTCAGACCCACAAATTCCTCCTTCATTTGGCCTTGCTGCTGCTATAAATCTTTTGATAGATCCAAAAAAATACAATAACAACCCTGGAAAGAAGCCTGCTTAAACTCTTCTGGGATAGGAGCACTTGGGGAAGGGGCACATCACATTAGGGAGCCAAGGAAAAAAAAAAAAGAGATACTGCATCTTCAAGTTACATTTTGCATATGTCAAAGCTTTGCTGGGAAGTCATCTTTCTTTCTCCACCTCTATTTCTGGACTGGCGGGTATTACAAAAAAAAACTCTAGGTAAGTCATATATGTATTCTAAGCACACTTTTTGAAGCAAAGTGTGGAAACAAAGGTCTGATGATCAGTTTTTCTTTTTTAAAAAATAAAGTTAATATCTTCTATTATATACATTTTGGAAATATAAAAAAGATTAAACATAAATTAGCTGTATGTAGTATTTTTGCTATGAGGCTTAAATAACAAAACTGTCATTACTTTGTGAGGAGGGGATAGCTCTAATTTATATGCTCACAAAAGACTTGTATCTACAATATATAAAGAACTCTTACAACTGAATACAAGAACTAAACATTCCAATTTTTTAAGTAGGCAAAAGATTTGAATAGACTTCACCATGTATAAGATATTGGTGGCAGCTGTGGAAGACAGTGTGGCGACTTGTCAAGGATCTAGAACCAGAAATACCATTTGAGCCAGCAATCCCATTACTGGGTATATCCCCAAAGGATTATAAACCACTCTAGTATAAAGACACATGCATACGTATGTTTATTGCAGCGCTATTTAAAATAGCAAAGACTTGGAACCAACCCAAATGCCCATCAATGATAGACCAGATAAATAAAATGTGGCATATATATACCATGGAATACTATGCAGCCCTAAAAAAGAATGAGTTCATGTCCTTTGCAGGGACATGGATGAAGCTGGAAGCCATCACTCAGCAAACTAACACAGGAACAGAAAACCAAACACCGCATGTTCTCACTCATAAGTGGGAGTTGAACAATGAGAACACATGGACACAGGGAGGGGATTACCACACACCAGGCCTGTCACGGGGTCGGGGGGAAGGGAAGGGAGAGCATTAGGACAAATACCTAATGCACCCCGGGCTTAAAACCTAGACGACGGGTTAATAGGTGCAGCAAACCACCATGGCACATGTATACCTATGTAATGAACCTTCACATTCTACAAACGTATCCCCCCAAAAAAAAAATTTATTGGAAAAAGAAAAATCTTCCAGAAAATAGAATGCAAAATTATAATTTTCTATATGTAAATTTATAAGACAAATTGTATCTGAAACATTTAAATATTACTAAAAGTTTTATTCAAGCACTTGATATCCAGGTAATTGTTGAAGTAAAATTGAGAGTTGTAAAAAAAAAAAAAGATATTGGTGGCAAATAAACCCATGGAAAGACGTTCAGTATCATTAGGTAAATGCAAATTAAAACCACATAATACTACTATATACTTTCTAGAATTTTTTTTTAAACAAAACTGACAATAATAAGTGCTGATAAGAAATTGGAACTGTCCTACCAGGCTGGTAAGTGTAAAATTACACAGTTACTTTTGAAAACAATTTGGCAGTGTTTTTCAAGTTAAACATTCATGTGCCACAGGACTTAGGGTTTCACCCCTAGGTATTTTTAAAATGCAAATATATGTCCACAAAAAGACTTGCATGTGAATGCTCACAGCAGCTTCTGAAAAGTGGAAAGCAGTGCAAATGTCCATCACCAGATGAATGGATAGACAAACTGTGGTGTATCTACACAAGAAAATACTACTCTGCAATAAAAGGGATGAACTATTAACATACACAAACACATGAATGGATATCAACAACATTATGCTGAATTAAAGACACCAAATACAGGATACTTCATGTATGAGTCCATATCTGTGACACTCTACAATAGGCAAAACCAATCTACAGTAATAGAAATAATATTAGTGGATGTGCTTAGGAGAGACTGACTGCAAATGAGTTGAACAATGAGAACACATGGACACAGAGAGGGGAACATCACACACCAGGTCTGTCAGGCGGTTGGGGGGAAGGGAAGGGAGAGCATTAGGACAAATACCTAATGCACGCAGAGCTTAAAACCTAGATGACAGGTTAATAGGGGGATTTGGGCAGTGCCATATATACATATATATTTGTTTACTTTTTTTTTTTTTGAGACAGAGTCTTGCTCTGTCACCCAAGCTGGAGTGCTGGAGTGCAGTGGCATGATCTCGGCTCACTGCAACCTCTGCCTCCCAGGTTCAAGCAATTCTTATGCCTCAGCCTCTGGAGTAGCTGGGATTACAGGCACCCACCACCATGCCTGTCTAATTTTTATATTTTTAGTAGAGACGGGGTTTCTCCATGTTGGCCAGGCTGGTCCCGAACTCCTGACCTCAAGTGATCCACCTGTCCTGGCCTCCCAAAGTGCTGGGATTACAGGTATGAGCCACTGCGCCTGGCCTGGGAGGTGCTATATTATGAATGGCTGTGCCCGGCCCACCCCTCACTACCAAATTCATATGTTGAAACCAAATCCCCAAAGTGAAAGCATTAAGAGGTAGGGCCTTTGGGCAGTGATTAGGTCATGAGTACAGAGCCCTGTTAATGAGATTAATGCCCTTGTAAGAGAGACTCCAAAAGCTGCCTTGGCCCTTCTGCCATTTGAGAAGTCAACAGTGTGCAACCCAGAAGAGGGTTCTCATCAGAACCCAACCATGCCAGCACCCAGTTCTTGGACTTCCCAGCCTCCAGAACTGAGAGAAACTGTGTTTATAAGCTACCTAGTTTATGGTAGTTTCTTATAGCAGCCTGAATGGACTAAGATAGGGAGTGACAGCAATGCTATAGAACTTGACTAGGGAGATAATTGGACAGGTGCTAACATTTGTCACAACTCACTGAAATGTACTCATAAAATGGGTACATCTTCTTTATATAATTATAATAAAGGTGAAAAAATAATTATTTTGAAACAAGGAGTTATTTAAAAGTCTTTATTATTAATAGTGGCCGTCCAACAAATCATTACTGAGGTTAATCAATCCATTGATAATGTAAGATCATTTGAAACATACCAGAGGAACGGATTCTCTGTTTATGGTAATGGAGTAGGTTAGAGAGCTTTTTTCCCAATGCACCAAAGTGAGAGTGTGAATTTCCATACCCTCTTATGATTAAACTCAGTGGCTATTTTTTTTTTTTTAAGACAGGGTCTCGCTCTGTCACTCAGGCTGGAGTGAAGTAGCACAATCATGGCTCACTGCAGCCTGAACCTCCTGGGCTCAAGCAATCTTCCCATCTCAGCCTCCTGAGTTGCTGGGACTACAGGTGCGTGCTACCATGCCTGGCTAATTTTCAAGTTTTTGGTAGAAACGGTCTCACTATGTTACCCAGGCTGGTCTCAAACTGCTGGGCTCAAGTGATCCTCCTGCCTCAGCCACCCAAAGTGCTAGGATTACAGGCATGAGCCACAGAGCCACCCAACCTTCAGTTAAAATTGTAAAAATCAGGCCTAAGCTATGATAAGAGTCGCTATTTTTTTATCACAAGAAAAATGCTTCAAAAATAAAGAATCTTCACTGTTAGTTGTCATTACTTTTTATTTAACACATGCATCTGCCTTTGGGATATTGGTGCAGCTGGTGACTGAAACTGGGGAGCACCCTTCTCACCTCTGCAAGCATCCATGTACATCCTGATATTTACATAGGGAACTAGGGATTCCCCTGGTGAAATATGGAATGGGATAGTGATTCCAACTATGTTAAAAAATTAACAGGGTAAAATCTATGTCTCATGGGCTATGTAGGCCCAGCCCAGGAGGGGTCACTGAAAAAGGCAGTGAAACCCCTGAAAGGAAGTCAGTTGCTGGAATAGCAAATGGAACAGACCAAGAAGGCCTGAAAGCAACACATAAGCTCAGAACTAAGTAATCTAGAATCAGTTACAAGGTAAGCACAGATAAATTTTAACCCATCTTCCTTTGAACTATGTGTGGGGTTGGGGAACATGCCCATGGTGTATGTGTGTTTGTGTGTGTGTGCACCATTTGCCTAAGTGTATGCATGGGGTGTGTGTGTTCATGAGCTAAAAGAAGTGTACCACCAATGATCCTTTGGACCCAGACACTGATTTCCTGGGTGTAACAGACCTTAGGAGTGGACTTTTCAACTGCAGCTACAACCTGGTGGGATGGCTGGGGCTTGGACTACCAATCCCCAGCACAACAGCAGCAATATCTTAGGGTTGCTAGAATTCTGGATCCTTCAACAGAAACATTGGGGATTTCTGATTGCATTTTATTATCAGTTGTTAATAGTGAGCGAGGCCAAATCCCAGGCTTAACCTTGGCTGCAGCAGTACTTTAGAAACCTCAAACTATCAGGGGCTCCTGACTCCATGAAATCAGCACCCATTAGGAGTTAGGAAAAAAGGAAAACTACTGGGCATTGATCTAGCTTTGAGGATCATATATCCATTTTCAAATGGTCAAGTAGAATTTGGAGAAAAATGATTTAAGGACATGTAAATATGTCACTGGGAAGTCTCCAAAATATTTGGGATCTGGATAAAACTAAATTTTGATCAACTAGCTGAGGACACAAGCCAGTAAGATCTGGTTGATCTCTGAGATAATCCATGAGGAGAGCTTAGCAGGGTGCCTGGCTGATAGTAAGCATTCACTAAGTTTCCATTAGTGTTGTTAACATAAATTAGTTGTCACTTGTGTTGGCAAGCTAGGAAAGCCTGGGATACACATGCTACGCATTCATAGTCTCACTATCCAATGAAGACAAGTACTTGTGATAAATTTCCTTCTGGACATTTTCAAATGTGTAAACTTGTTGAATATCTACAATGTGCTTAGTCTGATTCTCATTTGCTCTTCACGATAACCATATTACCTAGGTAGTAGTCTCCATGCTGTAATAAGGAAGAAACCTAGGATCATAGAGGTTGAGTATCTTGCCTGAAGTCATTCAACTAGAGAGCAGGCTGAATGCAGTGGCTCACGCCTGTAATCCCAGCAATTTGGGAGGTCAAGGCAGGAAAATCACTTGAAGCCAGGAGTTCAAGACCAGCTTGGGCAATTAAGCAAGACCCTATCTCTACAAAAAATAAACAAATACATTAGCCAGGCATGGTGGTGCATGACTGTTGTCCCAGCTACTCAGGAGACTGAGGTGGGAGGATCACTTGAGCCCAGGAATTTGAGTCTGCAGTGAGCTACGATTTCCCTACTGGACTCCATCCTGGGTGTCACAGCAAGGCTCTGTCTCTTAAAAAACAGGCCGGGCATGGTGGCTCACATTTGTAATCCCAGCAGTTTGGGAGGCCAAGGCAGGCAGATTACCTGAGGTCAGGAGTTCGAGACTGGCCTGGCCAACATGGTGAAACCCTGTCTCTACTAAAAATACAAAAAAATTAGCCAGGCATGGTGGTGGGTGCCTGTAATCCCAGCTACGTGGGAGGCTGAGGCAGGAGAATCGCTTGAACCCAGGAGGCGGAGGTTGCAGTGAGCCAAGATCACATCACTGCACTCCAGCGTGGTTGAAAAGAGCAAGACTCCGTCTCAAAAAAAAAAAAAAAAAGAAAAAGAAAACTAGACAGCCATGAAAATATGAGCTCTAAAATGTTACACATGAATACCCAACACAGATGTATATACACTTAAATAAACATAAGCATAATCCATCATATTTTTAAGAATAAGGTGATTTAACTTCAGAACTGTCTTAGAAAATCTAGAGTGTGTGAATATCTTGCAAATACATAATGAAGCTTCTATGGTGAGAATTTCTGTTTCTATTTTTCTGCATTTCTTTCTCTTTTACTTTAGTTACCCCTTGTAAAATTTCCCAGAAATATCCAAGTCCACAAGCCACCTTCATTAACCTGACATCAGGACAGGGACACCTGTGATCTAGGATAACACTGAGCATCCTATGGAAGTCTCCATGGGTTAGAGAAGTGAATGTGTCATAAAGAGCACTGGACTATCACCAGTAAGATTCCCCCCACACCAGTTATCTATGTTATAATAATGTGACTGACAGACATGGGAAAGATGAGGAAATGGCATTTGAGAGAATGTCAGTCATCTTCAAGAGTAGCTAATTATTGAAAAGCTACCCTAAACTCTCTAAGGGTAATCTTTGTTTTCCTTTCAGAAAAATAACTTTGGGGTCAGGAATGGTGGCTCACACCTGTAATCCCCGTGCCTTGGGAGGCCAAGCTGGGAGGATAGCTTCAAGAGGCCAGGAGTTCAAGACCAGGTGGGACAACGTGGCAAGGCCCTGTCTCTACTAAAAAAAATATTAGCTGGCCATGGTGGCATGCACCTGTAGTCCCAGTTGTATGGGAGGCTGATGTGGTAGGATCTCTTGAGCCCAGGGGTTTGAAGTTACAGTGAGCTACAGGTGCAGCACCGCATTCCAGCCTGGACGACAGAGTGAGATCCTGTCTCAAAAAAACAAAAAACAAAAAAACAAGAAAAACAACTTTAAAAATGTTAACCTTAGAGTATCGTTTGACTGCCATGGCAGGATGTTGAAGTCAGAATCTGGGTGTATCTGAATTGATCCCTAACTCAAAGTATGAGATATCTCACATTTACCAGATAAGGAAGAACATCTCTGTCTCCTGATTGCTCTTTTTGGGCCTTGTGCCCTGGACAAGTTGTCTCTTGGCTTAGATCCTGACCTCACTTTGCAAGGCAAAAATTGCTTTTCATATTGCCAGATGGTGGGTGTAGCCACCTCTAACAGTGATTTAAGGTCCCATCAACTAAAACATCCTTCAAAATAAGTTCAAGGTCAGACAGTGGTTTTGCTAACTACTTTACTGTAAGCAGAGTTTAAAATTATTTTGCTCATAAACTTGAACATAATATGCAAAAATACCTCCAAGCAGGTAGCACATTTTGATATAAAGAGTGTGGTCTTAGGAAGCAAACAGACATAAACTCCAACTCCTATTAAGAGGGTAGCTTTGGCTGGGTGCAGTGACTCACACCTGTAATCCCAACACTTTGGGTGGCCAAGGTGGGCAGATCGCTTGAAGTCAGGAGTTCAAAACCAGCCTGGCCAATATGGTAAAACCCCATCTCTATGAAAAAAAAATATATAAAAAATTAGCCGGGCATGGTGGAGCATGCCTGTAGTCCCAGCTACTCAGGAGGCTGACACAGGAATCCCTTGAACCCAGGAGGCGGAGGTTGCAGTGAACCCAGATGGCGCCACTCCATTCCAGGCTGGGTGACAGAGTGAGACTCAGTCTCAAAAAAATAAAATAAAATAAAATAAAAGGCGGGTGGCTTCAACCTCAGACATCTTTTTGATAGTTCCATAGTTCCATATAGTCTTGACGTTTTTGAAAGATATATTCAGAGCACTTCAGGTATAGTCAAATTTTAAAATACTATTAGAACATGTAATTTATATTATAAAATGCTATGCAAACATAAATAGAACGAAATCACTGAAATGTGGATGGTGGGCTCTGATTAATCTCACTCATCAGCTGGAGGGTTCCTGCAAACCCTGAAAGTGTTGACATTTGTGATTCAAAAATTACCGGGTAATACATGTCACTAACCTTTGGAGTAGCTTATGAAGAGATAAAATAGTAAAGCTTGGGGCTCACACCTGTAATCCCAGCACTTTGGAAGGCCAAGATGGGCAGATCACTTGAGCCTAGGAGTTCAAGACCAGCCTGGGAAACATGGTGAAAACCCATCCCCATCAAGCAAAACGAAAACTTAGCCAGGTGTGGTGGCACATGCCTGTGATCCCAGCTACTCTGGTGGGAGGATTGCTTGAGCTCTAGAGGTCGAGACTGCAGTGAGCCATGATCATGCCACTGCACTGCAGCCTGGGAGACAAAGCAAGACCCTGTCTCAAAATAAATAAATAATAGATAAAGCTCAAAATTATACACACAAAATAAAATACTGTATGACATTACCTGTTATACAGATGGAATTTGATCATTCTAGTTTCCTTCTAATTCTACTCCCATTTTATTTCTAGATCTGGTATTCCAGGATTGACAATAAAGAGTACAACACCAATAAAAAGAATACACTCTATATTGCATTGATCTGGGTTCTGTTCCAAAAATGCATAACACTTCCCCTTAGGTGGAAAGTAACTCAAGTTCAATGGGAAGCCCAAGTGTCAAGGAAAAAATATTATCCCACCCCTTTTTTATCAAGGATTGGTACTCCAAACAAGCTGAAATTTAAACTTGATTGTTTTCATGATTAATTTATGCTTACTTGATAGGCTCTTAAAATCAATGTGGCCACTCACTGACACTTGTTTTGGGCAGCTCAGTCACTGCCTCACCTGGCCCTCGCAGCGATCTGTCAATTCCATAAGGCACAATGTACACTTATTGGGTATTGCATTGGGTATCAGAGAGGTATTTCAACTTACTAAATAGGACCACTTTCTCTGTGTTATTTGATCAGGCAAAAGAAGGAAATGAAGAAAAAAAACCTGTTAGGAAAAGACAGCAATTTTGGGTACAACTCAGTGAAGTCATTTGCCCTCTTTGAGTGTTAGCATCTCAGTCTCTTAAATTGGCTTTTCTCACCCAATAGTGGGGGTTATGATAAACACTATACTGAACAGCCAAAGAGCTTGGAAGCTATGGAAACAAAAATTCACATACATCTTATACTAATGCTATAGCTGAAATCCCAATTTAAAGTTTAAATAAAGTAGAGAGAGATTAAGTGTAGTTGTTTCACTTGTTCTGAATTTGTTAAAACTTGCTAAAGTGTTTGCATTCTTATAAGCTAACTGAATTCCCTGTGGGACTAAATTGGAGAAAACACATGCATATGAATTAAATATTTGAATTAATGTAGGATTCCTCAGTTTGTGAAAGAATTTATTTAAAGAAAGCACCACATTGAACAAAAAAAAATTCCATTTGGAAAAGAAAAGTTAACTATCAGTGACTTTTTGTGCACGGCCATGGGATGCAGGCTTTCTAACATCCTGGACTAGAGATTCATGATCTCGTTAAGTCCAGTAGCAGTTGTTAGTTCAATTAGGCTTATAGTAGAGCTCTAAAATCCTTTGATGGCTCCCCCTTTGACATCAACATCTGATACAGGAGTTAAGAAGAAATCATTTAGGCAGATAGTGAGGGTAAGGTTTTCCTTTTAATGAAAAGCAGCCCCCAAATCATTTTCTTTTCTAACAAAGAACAGCCTGTAAAATCCAGCTGCAGACATAGACAAGCAAGCTAGAACCTTGCACAGGTGAATGCCAGCAGCTGTGCCAGTAGGAAAAGGCTACCTGGGAATAGGCATGTTCAAAATTGTGGCTCCGTCTTCCCTTCTCCTTTCCAGCCAAGTGTACAGTAAGAAGCAGACAACATGGCGCCAGCCAAGTGAAAAGTCCATTTGCATAATAAGATTGGAGTGGGGCAGCCAGCCTTCCCCACGCTCTATATAAACGTCACAACTGGTCCAATCAATCTGTAGGCCCTTCATAAATCAGACACCACCTCCTCAAGCCTCTGTATAAAATCTGGTGCACTCGGTAGGCAGGCTGGGATTCCCACTGGGGAGGCTCGCGCTCTCTTTCTCTCTCTCTTTCTCTCTCTCTCTCTCTCTCTCTCTCTCTCTCTCTCTCTGAGAGAGAGCTGTTTTCCTTTCTCTTTCTTTTGCCTATTAAACCTCAGCTTCTAAACTCATTCGTGTGTGTGTGTCCGTGTCCTCAATCTTCTTGGCGTGAGACCACGAACCTCAGGTATTATCCCAGACAAAGATGCTGCTTCACATCCACCCCCTAGTACCATTATTTTCCATCCACTCACTGTTCCACTGGGTGCAACTGTTCCCCCTCAGTCCTCTGCTGAGTATCACTTTGTCACTCTGTCTGCTACTCTATTCTAGGTGTATCCATGTTCCAATGAGTATCATCTGAATACTATCATATCCTACAGGGGTCTATCCTTCATGCTCTATTGGGCTTCAAAGTCTTCCTCCTGGTACTGTTGCTGGTTTGCCATGCATTGTCATGAATGCTTTGGTGACATTACCATACCCAAACTGTTTTTAGTTAAAAAAAAAAAAAAAAAAGCAGGGATGCTTCCCTTCTATTTATGTTTCAGTTTATCACATAGATCCTGAAACATGGCATTGTACTCCACTCTTTTAAAAAAGATTAGTAATGCAAGTTTATTTTCCCCCACTTTGTACATTCAAACCCTCTACTCTCTATAGCTCCTAGGTATAAATTGTCATCCTGCTGGGAGGGGGATCTAGGTGACAGACATCACACAGTAGTCAGGCTTCCTTGCTCCTCTGTTGGGTAAGGCTGTCTCTATGGGTCAAACTCTTGTTGCCAGGCAACTTCTTCCTTCAGAATGAGAACTCTCCCAAGAGGACCTTCAATCCATATGCAAACAGCCTCTGGCAGCTGCTCCCACCAATTCCAGAGACATGCCCAGGCAAGACTGAATCTCTCTTCCAGCTAAATTGAGAGTCTCCATTACATTAATTGAAAGGACCAAAGATTATTCTTTAGTAAGATTATTTTCTTTTATGATAGATATATAATAAAACAACAATATCATAATATTATAATCCATCTTCATTTATAAAACTATCCACTCCACCCTGCTGCAAACATATTCTTTTACCATTCATCTTGGTTAAGACTAGTACAGAGAAGGACCTTGAATGAATTAAGATTTTGTTTTTTTTTTTTTCTGTAGAGTCCTATGATCTTCCCTGTTAACAATGATAAATAAAGTAGTAGCTCTGAATGATATTTATTAAGATCCTCTAAGTTCCAGGCATAGTGCTAAGCATTAGGGCTAAAGGTGAACCCAGCATAATCTCTAAAATCTATGAGCTCACAACTAGCTGGAAGTCAGCCATAAATGTGAATATAATATAATGTGGTGCATGCTGCAACAGATAATTTGAAAACCTAAGAGAAAAGCAATGATCTGATTTTTGTAGAAAAATTCTATCAATTTAGAGTGAAGAAAGTTTTAGCTACCCTCTGATCTTCAACTCTGAGGTCTGTGATTTTTCATTCATGATGGGCAGGCTTACCCTGTTGTCTGTAGTAGTGACTGTATTTTGATAGCCATACAAACTGCTTTCCATTAGTACGCTCACTTTGGGAGTAAATCTAATTTGCAAAGTAGGCATGAGTATCTGGGTGACCAGAACTATCCAGTAGCACTTATTCTGCAAACCACCATATTCCGTAGATGAAACAGTCACACCTGAAGCATCCTAACCCACTGGCAGGCCAGCCTGGTCCTCCCTGATGTGGAGAGTTTACCACTACCTGTTTAGGCTGGATTGAAATTAAAACCTTAATTTCCCTGAAGACTGATGGGTAGGACATGTGTCAACACAGCTCCTCAAATGTTAAGTTAAAAATGACCTACCGGGCATGGTGGCTCACGCCTGTAATCCCAGCACTTTGGGAGGCTGAGGTGGGCAGATCACCTGAGGTTGGGAGTTCAAGACCATCCTGACCAACATGGAGAAACCCCGTCTCTGCTAAAAATACAAAATTAGCTGGGCGTGGCAGCGCATGCCTGTAATCCCAGCTATTTGGGAGGCTGAGGCAGGAGAATATATTGAACCCAGGAGGTGGAGGTTGCGGTGAGCCGAGATCATGCCATTGCACTCCAGCCTGTGCAAGAAGAGAGAAACTCTGTCTCAAAACAAAACAAAACATAAAACCTGCAACGTTTCCAACAATGTCAGAAATGGAGGAACATGGAAAGGTTTCATTCCTCTATGAACTCCCAGAATGCCAAGAGGGAAATGTTTTTCCATAAAAGATGGTAAGATGAGGACAGTCAGCAGGGTAACTTTCCAGAAACACCTTAGAAATCTTCAAGCTGGGCGCGGTGGCTCACACCTGTAATCCCAGCACTTTGGGTGGCCAAGGTAGGCAGATCACTTGAGGCCAGGAGTTCAAGACCAACCTGTCCAAGATAGGAAAACCCCGTCTCTACCAAAAATACAAAAAATTATCCTGGTGTGGTGGTAAACACCTGTAGTCCCAGCTACTCGGGAGGCTGAAGCATGAGAATCACTGGGACCTGGGAGGTGGAGGTTGCAGTAGACTGAGATCATGCCACTGCACTCCAGCGTAGGCAACAGCATGAGTCTGTCTCAAAAATAAATAAATAAAAATTAAAAAAATAAATCTTGAAATAGTGGACACAGAGCCTGGCACAGTGCCAGGAGAGCAGAAAGCATTGGTGGAATGCTACCAACTGATGGTGGCTGGTAAATGAGTGAATGAATGAATACAGATAATGGGGACAGTGAGTTTTATCCCTACGTCAAATGTTGCTATTATAAATAACTTAAAAGAGAAATATATACACCTACTATGTACCCACAAAAATTAAAAATTAAAAATAAATAAGTAATTTTAAAAAGAGAGAGACAACCTGGCTTCAGTCAGAATTTGTTCTCCCATGTTACACCAAGGGAAATAATCTATGATGGTGGAGAGGCATGAGCTTCACTTAAAAAGGTGATCCTCTTTATGAGTCCTATGTGGTAGACATCTCTATAGGAGGAACAGATAGAGGGAAGTGGTGAAGATCAGGGCCTTTGGTATCAGGCAAATCTCGGTTGATTTCCAACTCCAAGGGTTGCTCGTTGTATGCAATTAGATTCCTAACACAGCTGAGCCTCAGTTTCCTCATGAATAGTATGAGAATGATAATACCTGTTTCATAGCATTGCTCTAAAGATTAGGTGATGATATCCATGCAATGCTAGCACAGTACAACATGAATAGCCCACAGCTACTATCAGGATCTGACTGAGCCAATGAATAGGGTGTTGGGCTTGTCTCAGCCCCTACCTCTTGGACTTCTATAAGTGCATGAAGAGTGTTTTCTCCAACTTCTTAGAATAGATGTTGGCAACCTTTCCAAAGCCCAGGCTCAATGACATCCTTGGATCCTCTACCACCTCATACCACACGTCCACTTAGTCATCAGGGCTTTCTCTCCACCTCATAAATTCCTCCCCACTCCATTTTCTACTCTCCATCTTCTTTGCCACGAATCCATATTAGATTCAGGTCATCATCACTCATGTACAACATTACCTTCACCTTCTAAATTCCATCTTGCTCTCTCCCACTCCCTCTCTACTCCATTGCCTTAGCATCCTGGTCTCCAGAATCAATTTTATAAATCCCATTTCTGAACATGCTTATTAATTGCCTCCAGGGTGGACACAATGAACTTACTCCAAAATTTAGTCCCAGTTAGCTACATCAGCCCTATATTTGAATCCACTTCTAATTCTACCTACCACCACACCTACTTGAAAAGACCCTGCTCTTCCACTTCTCTGGGCATTTTCTCATGAAAAATAATTTGCGGTAATAACATTTACCCCATTCTTGGTTGGGTGAGCAACAATTCTTTTCAAACCTAGCGAAATTATAACCCTCAGACAGTAGTTGCCTCTTCTGTGCTTTTGTGGCACTTTGTGATATTATCATCACTGGACCTTTAAATTTTCATTAAAACTATTAACTGAGCAATTGCTCTGTTATATATATTCACATGGCCAGTTTTGCTGTGATTACTTTTGCACCAACCTAATATTATATTTATGTATATATATATCTGCAGTGCAATTCTGCTGCTGAGCTATTACAGAATATCTAATTAAAGTAAGCCTTAAGCCAGGAGAAAACTGTGCCATAACCTTCATAATCCTATTTATATGTGATATATATAAGATATGATCATTATATACATACACTGATACATATATTTATATATCCTAACCATCACAATATCCTTTTAAGATTGTTCAACTCTTATAGGTAGATAAACTAGGCTCCAAGATGTTTAGTAATATGTCAAGGTTAGGTTTACATGCACCTATGGGTGAAGTTGGTAATAAACATAGGACTAAGGATTCTAAATCTTATGTTCTTTTCACGGAAGCACAACCTCCTCAGCTGTAGTTTATGTGTCAGTATCCAGAACACATTGCTGTAGTTTATGTGTCAATCTCCAGCACTAGAATGTATTCTCTTAGAAGGATTAGATGAGTTTAAATAAGATACATTTTACATTTTACTCTTTGCATCCCCGACTCTTAGCCCAGTGTTGTGCCTATCACACATACTCAGTGTAAGTTTGTTGAATGAAAGAATGAGCTTTGAGTAAATGAATGAGGTTTGCATGAATCTTCTTGGAGGATCAATTTTGGAAGGGCTGCAGGAAATGCTGGAGATTAATTCTTAAACATCTTGGCCAGGTGCGGTGGCTCAAGCCTGTAATCCCAGCACTTTGGGAGGCTGAGGCGGGCGGATCACGAGGTCAGGAGATCGAGACCATCCTGGATAACACGGTGAAACCCCGTCTCTACTAAAAATACAAAAAAATTAGCCAGGCATGGTGGCGGGCGCCTGTAGTCCCAGCTACTTGGGAGGCTGAGGCAGGAGAATGTCGTGAATCCGGGAGGCAGAGCTTGCAGTGAGCCGAGATGGTGCCACTGTACTCCAGCCTGGATGACAGAGCGAGACTCCGTCTCAAAAAAAAAAAAAAAAAAAAAAATCTTAAACATCTAATAGGCAGACAGCGTAGCCATGGCTATGAGCAGTAATACAGAGTGGTCCCCTTTACAACCTTGCAAGGGAATATGGCTGTACAAACTGACTACATGTGAGCATTGCCTCCTAGGCCACCTCTGTCACTTGTGTCTTAGATTGCAACGTTGTTCATGACTAGTTACATGCAGTTTCTTGGGAAGTCATCTGTCACTTACCTAAAGCTCCCCTCATTTCCATCTTAACAGAAAATCTCCATCACATAGCCCCACCCAACCGGTTATCTCTCCATCTTTCCCTTCTGAAGATAGCAAATTAAACGGAACCAGACAAAAGCTACGTCCCCATGGGGATGCCTTTCTATCAAGCCTGAACATAGCTGCCAAAACATTCTGTGACTTCAGGGCCTCGATTTTTTCTTTTTTCATGTTTGAAAAACAAAATCTGTGAAGCTGAGTGTCCCCAGTAAGGATAATAAATATCAGAATTTGCTCACAGCCGAAAGCCTGCAAAGGCATGAGGTTACTCGGTATCTGCCACAATAAGAAAGAGCATCTTGGTCTCCTGACTTCTCTGCTTACACCTCCTGCCCTAGAGAACCTGCTGTAAGGGAGGTCTTGGCTACACTGAGGGGGGCAGACATAGTTGATCAAAGTCCCAGACAGCTGGACTTAGCTGCTTCCATCAGTGTCTTCAAGGTCCAGCAGCCATAGAATAATTTCAAGGTCAGACAGTGGTTTTGCTGATTACTCTACTGTAAGCATGTTTTAAAATGATCTTGTAGATGCTGAGTTACCAGGTGTCTATTCCCAGGGATGCTGTCTCAGTCCCCTTGCCTGATCCTGTTGAAAAGGCAAAGGTTTCACTGCATTTTCCAACAGCTGATGAGTCATCTTGCATATCTTATAGTTGCTCTGCTCCTGCAGTTGCCATAGGGCAAATTGGAGCCCATTCCGCAGCACAAGTCTGCTGCAGAGCTATTACAGAATACTTAATTAAATTAAGCCATGAGGCAGGAGAAAACTGTGCCATAACCTTCATATTCTGTGAAACTTTTCATCGTTTGCCAAGCACCAATTTCCTAAAAACGGGGGCTGTAGCACAGCACCAGGAGACCAAATCCTAAAATGGAAATTGTGATTGTTTATGGTGTGTGCATGGATGCTGAATCACAGAAGCAGGGAGGGAGTAGAGCCAAAGTGCTGGGCATGTGAAGGAGGAGGACACCGTACACAATGACCTTGAAATCTAAATTAGCTCCTGCTAATTAGATGAAGCAAACTATTATTTCCATTTCTGAATTCATAAAATTGTTTTGTTCTCAAGGAAAATGAAACATCTGTTCTACTGGGCTAACTCGGTTCTGAGTAAGTTTGTACTCTTATGTTTTGAGGTAGCAGGGGGAATAAAATGGGCCTCCATCCTGGCAGCAGAGCCTGGACCCCAGCTTCCTGATGACACACATTCTTGCCTGGCTTCCCCAGGGGATCTTGAAGGGCAGGACCAGCCATAATCAGTGAGGCTGCTAAGCTCAGGAACAGTGCCTATCCCTTTCTCTTTGCCAGACAAGCTAGTGTTCCTACACAAGAAAATTGCCCCAAAGGAGGACATAGTATTTATTGAGCACCTACTATATGGCATTCTGTACTAAAGCTTGCATAAAAAAATGATCAAATGTAAACCCTACAGTGAATCTGAAGCTCAAGGATGTAAATTTGCCCAAATTGTCCAAGTGAAAGAGGAAGGATGTAAGCCTAGATCTCACTGGTCTCAGAGCTCGTGTTCTTTATACCATATTTTCCTTTTACCATAACATAGGCAAATTCTAGAGAAAGCTGCACAATGTTTGTCAGCTTCCAACATGGAATGCTGACACATGAGTATCAGCAAGAAAGAGCAGGAAGTTACTACTCTCTGGATTTTCTTCAGGGGCTTTAAAGATGACTAGCCACATGGCCTAATAATAGCTGAGGAGCTGTCAGCTCCTCTTCAGGTCTTCATTTTATTGGCTGAGTAATTGTGGACAAGATCATTTTACATCCTCAATTTGTGAATTCAAAGAAAAGAGTTATACTAATCTAAGTGGTTTATTCTGAATCTTTTGTTTGTTTTTTGAGGCAGGGTTTCACTCTGTTGCCCAGGTTGGAGTGCAGTGATGTGATCATGGTTCGTTGCAGCTTCTACCTCCTAGGCTCAAGTGACCCTCCCACTTCATCCTCCTGAGTAGCTTGGACCACAGGCCCATCACTAGATTCCACCAAGAGGAATCCATCACACCACCATGACTGGCTAATTTTTAAATTTTTTGTAGAGGCAGGATCTCTCTATGAATCTTTTGGACTGTGAGTTTATAAGATAAATAAAGCACTGACCTGGCTTTGGAGCACAGATGTTCCGGCTTTATAGATTTAACCATGTACAAGCCCCTGGGTTGTTCATATTTCAATACCTGTGTATTGGCTCGTTCTCACACTGCTATAAAGAACTATCAGAGACTGGATAATTTATAAAGGAAAAAGGTTTAATTTGACTCAGTTTTCCATGTCTGGGGAGGCCTCAGGAAACTTACAATCATGGTGTAAGGTAAAGTAAGGCACCTTGTTCACGAAGCGGCAGGTGGCAAGCAAAAGTGGAAGAGCCCCTTATAAAACCATCAGAGCTCATGAAAACTCACTCATTATCATGAGAACAGCATGGGGAAAACCGTTCCCACAATCCAATCACTTCTCACCAGGTCTTCTCTCCCTAAACACCCAGGGATTACAATTCAAGATGAGATGTGGGTGGGGACACAAAGGCTAACAATATTACCCACCTTGATCATTCTCTTCATTATGGTGATTGTACTCTAGGAACAATAGCTCCCACCTAAATCGCTGTCCTGAACATAACTTCCAACTCAGAATTTCATTCAAGAGGACAAAGGGGCCTAGAACATATTGTGGCCAGAGTTGTAGAAACTATTGCAACTCTTGCTCCTCGGGCAGGTTTTACTTACCATAAAATCATACTACTAGAACTTACCATCTCCCTTGAAATAGCCTTAGCAAAAATTGGTGCAAGTATATCAGCGATACAAAAGTCTTTAGACTCACTAGCAGGAATGGTTTTTGATAATAGACAAGCTCTGTGTTACCTCCTAGCTGAATGAGGAGGAGACTGTGCTGTCATCAACAAAACCTGTTGCACCTACATTAATGTGTCTGGAGAAGTGGAGACTGATGTTCAAGACATTTTCAAACGAGCCAGATGGTTACATACACTTTATCAAAGTAACCAAGAGTGGATCAAACCTGTTACTGATTGGTTTCCAAAAATCACTTGGCTTCTTCCATTCCTTGGACCTTTGTTCCTTGTCATTCTTTTGATATTTGGTCCTTACTTTTTACTGCTTTTACTAAGTTTGTATCTTCCAGATTACAGAGATTCCACCTACAGGTGACTATGCAATCCCAATACCAGCCTACAACAGTAACTTCCATTTACGTGGGGCCTCTTGATGGAATCTAGTTTCTCCCCATCCCCCACCCTTGAACGAGTTTTTCATGACCCTTAATTGCTTTCGTGACAGAGAACAAGAAAGGGAAAAACACAACCTATCTCCTTCAGTGCTCCCCTTTCAGCAGCAAGTAGCCAGACAGACTCGATGCCCCTCTTCACTATGGTGTTTTCCCTTTCTTGAGACCCCAATAGGCAGCAGGTAGACATGAGGCATGGGGGAATATAAAGGGTCAAAGATTTGACCAAAATATTTGTCAGAGGGAAAATGAGGAGAGCAAAATCACCTGGAGACTATTGAACAAGCCCCAGAGAAAAAAACTCCTTGTCTGAGGAATTTAGAAGGGAGCAAATACCACCTGGTAACTATTAAACAGACCATCCAGAGGCAAAACTCCTTATCTAGAAAAGTAAGAAGTAATTAAACTTCCCTAGTATCTAAAGTCAGCATCTGGTTCCAGGCCTCTTTCAACTTGGATGAGTATAATAATTAAAATTTCTCTGCATCTCTGGAATGCCATGCCAAAACTCATTTCATAACCCTAAGCTTCTACCTTAAGGTCCATAAATGCTCCTCAGAAAAAATCCACCGTGGTACACTCAGTCCTCCCACTGAGGTGCTCCGCTGCACCCTTTTGTAGCATTCTTCCTTTCTAATAAACTTTCCTTTTTCAATCCTATACTGTTGTTGGTAAATTCTTTCTACCAACCCGCGTGTCAACCACTTCCCAGTGCTGGGGCTATGACACCTTGCCGGGCACATATCACTATCATCATTTTCGCCAAAACCATTCTACAAGTCGCTAGGAAGTTCTAAGCTCTCCCACATGTCTTCTTCTGAGTTCTCCAAACCGTTCCAACCTCTGCCCGTTACCCCGTTCTGAAGTTGCTTACACCTTTTCAAGTATCTTCTTTATAGCAGTACCCCACTCTCTGCGGTACCAATTCACTGTATTAATCCATTCTCATACTAATCCAAAGAACTACTGGAGACTGGGTAATTTATAAAGGAAAGAGGTCTAATTGGCTCACCATTCCACATGGCTGGGGAGGTGTCGGGGAACATACAATCACGGTAGAAGGGGAAGTAAACACAGCCTACTCCACAAGGTGGGAGGAGAGCAGAGTGAGGAGTGAAGGGAGGAGAGCCCCTTATAAAACCATCAGATTTCGTGAGAAATCACTCACTACCATGAGAACAGCCTGGGGGAAACTGCCCCCACCCCCATAATCCAATCACTTCCCTCCAGGTCTTTCCCTCAACACCTGGGGATTATAATTCAAGATGAGATTTGGGTGGCAACACAAAACTTAACCCTATCAACCTGGTTGTCAACCTGCTGCCCTTTAGGTGGGGAATTTAGAAGGTCACGAGCAGTGTGGTATCTGCTATCCCAGGTGTGGGCACCTTCAGGCATCACTGAATAGGCAGCCTAGGAGACTAATTCTGAGTCTGACAAGCACAGATTGGCAGGGATTGCAGGTGTGATCAACTCCATGCCAGGGACATGCCGTTTCACTGAAATTTTCAAAAAGCTCTGTAGGTATTTCCTATCCAATTATCTTTAAAGTTGAAAGTTACATAAAATTCCATTGATGAGCAGGTGGCAAACTGGGTTTGTATATTGGACAGGAAAGCTTAAAAAAACCACACGGCTATATTCTTTTAATCTTTGGGTAACTAAATTTGGAGTTAGCTTTAGAATCACTAGGTAAACCAATAAACAAAAAGCCTTACATTTAAGTTGACAATTTGACAGATTTTTTTAATCAATAAAGAAGACTACATTTTCAGGCTGGCAAACTATTGGGAAAAGAAGACTTCTGTGGTAATATTAGGTGCCCTTCCTCTCCCTTGCAAATAGTTATACTGTGCCTACGTATGAAGTGGAATTACCTAGAAAATATCCCTGAACACTTAGTCTTGCAAATCAGCATTCTATCCAGAATAACAAATTACATATTTCACTGATTTATACGGCATGTTCATTTCATATGTTTTACTCAACCCACACATCTGGAAAACTTGTGGGCTTGTTCTATGCAAGGATATCTTTGTACCTCTTCAAAGGACTGAGCACTTAGGTTGGGTTTGATGCTACGGTCAATAAGGAAATCTTCTTTATAAGGCTGACCTAAATGTGGTACATATATACCATGGAATACTACACAGCTATTAAAAAAAGAACAAAATCATGTCCTTTGAAGCAACATGGATGTAGCTGGAGGCTGTTATCCTAAGGGCTTTAATGCAGGAACAGAAAGCCAAATACTGCATGTTCTCACTTATAAGTGGGAGCTAAACATTGGGTACTCATGGACATAAAGATGGGAACAATAGGCCCTGGGGACTAGTAGGGGGTGAAAGGGTTGAAAAACTGTCTGTTGGGTATTATGTTCGCTACCTAGTGAATGGCATCATTCGTAGCCCAAACCTCAGCATCACACAATGTACCCATGTAAACAAACCTGCACATGTATCCTCTGAATCTAAAATAAAAGTTGAGAAAAAAAAACAACCTGACCTAGTGAAGAATGCTCAACTAGAGGGCTTTATTTTTGAGACCTTGAGAAGATGCGAGAGGGGATGGAAGGAGGAAGAAGAGAAATGAAGGGTTAATTTTAATCTTGGGTTCCTGGGTGGAGAGGGAGCCAAGACAAGCGTAAAGGTATATTTAGTACTCATGCATTCACTGCAAAATCTAGTCTAAACTTTGAAGCCTCCATTCCTTGAACTCTGACCTATAGTGTTTTTGACCATGACTTAGCAAGCTTGGTTCTACTCCTACATTTCTGATTTTGTTGTAACAATTTACAGGTTACTCTTTTCTTGATCTTAGCTTTAAAGGTCACTATGATCCCCTAGATTCCTCATGTGCTTGCCAACCTATGGCAACTGAGTCTCTCGCTGCCAGGGATACATTCTGTAGATGTCCAGTGTCTACAACGTTCCAGGCACTGTCTTAGGCAGTGGGCATACACAAATAAGACAGTGTCTTTGTCTGTCCTCAATGAACGGATGGTCTGCTGAGGGAGGAGTTGCAGTTAACTACAAGTTCTGAGATAGATGGAAAATGCTGTGTTGGAGAGTGTATGGCGTGCTATGAGATAGCAATGAAGGAACACTCAAGGCCTGGAAACTTGGAAATAGGTCATGGAAGGAATCCCAGAGAAGGAAACTCTCTTTATCCAGAGAGAGGGCGAAAGAAGTTTGTCAGGAGGACGAATGGAGAAGGGAGTTCCAGTAAAACAGAACAAGGGCAGGGATATGTAGCAAGCACAATATTGTGCTTCCTGAGATATGTGGATGACTGAATGTTGTATGCAGGATGATTCTAGGATCAAGCATTAAATAACATTGAACAAAACCATAGAAGTAACTGCTCTATCAACTCCCTCTCAATCCTGGCTAACTCAGGGAATAAATCTTTCTGTGCTTCCCCAAAATATTTTCTATCTCTCTAACACTTTCTGAACTCCCTTTGTGTCAAACAGAGAACAGGCTTATTGCTCAGACCTTTGAGCAGGCAACAGTATCTGGTTAGAACTTAATAACTTTGTTTCATTTTTATTATATTTATTTTTACAGTTTCATTTTTATTATGGCAACTGATAGCAGTTTTCCATTCGCAGCATTGATACCAAGTTTTAGTTGAAATTACTTTATTGTAGTTAAAAATGTAGTCAATTAAAAATAAACACTATGCAAAAAATAATACAGGTGGTACATGAATATGTCAATAATCATAAAGTTCGTAGGCCAATGACTAGGGTTTCATAAACACTGGTGTGGTGTATTGGGGAACTAGAAAACCATAAAATCAGACTGAAGAATGAAGGCTGGAGACAAGTTATGAGTGACAGAAGCCAGATTGTGAAGGGCCTCCTATGTCAGGTGGGGAGCCATGGAGGGGCCGTAACCAGGAGATTGACACAATAAGTTCTGCAAGTTAGACACAGTCTTCTAGCATGATGTGAAGGATGGCCCAGGGGAGTGAAAGGAAGTAGATGAGTCAGGAGACAAATGGATCCTAGTGACAGATGCTGATAAGAGCATAAACAAGAGCCGAAGCAGTGAGGCTGTGAAGGAGGGTGTGGACTTGTGTGACCTGTCAGTGGTACAATCACCATTGTCACCAATTAGATGTGGAGGGAGAAATCTAGACTATTGCTCAGGTCTGGCTTGATCAGTGGGTGAAATGTGGCTCCACTAACCAGATGAGGAGATGTTTCCCCTTACTTGCTCCTTTGCTTGGTAACTGACATGATTTTGACCCCGAGTGGAACCCTTCATCTCACTGACTCTGCATTAATAGCTCAATAGGAAGGATTCAAGTTCCTTCCCTTCACAGTCCTGGCTAGAGATCTAACACCTCAGGCAAACAGAGCAGAATCCAAAATGTGTGGTGGATTAGCATATTTTCATGTTGTGAAAGAAAAGTTTTTGGTCAAGCAAATCATGGAAAAGATGAAACACCATGGGACTCTGCCCTAGAACTTTCTAAAGGGCCACCACTAATCAAAGAGGACTTTCTAGTTCAATACAATTTCTCTAAATTCTTTCTAACTCCAATAATTTCTGACTGAATTTCTGTTCACAGTCTGAAATTGTGTGGTCTTCCGACTTCAGAACTTTTGAAATCAGAGGTATCAGTGAAGGGAAGAGCTGGGAAGATAAGGGTTATAAACTAAGGAGGTACTAAAGGAGGCCTTTGTTTTGCAAAAAAATAAAAAATAAAAAGTAAAGGGAGAATGGAATCTTTGTGGGGGAGACTCTTGAGTGAGGGCAGAATCATCTCGTTGTTGGAAGGTACCTGGTTACAGGGGGTTGGGTAGTTTGGAGTAGGTGGCTGTCATGCACAGCATTTTCTCTCTTTCTTATTCTTAATGGTGAAGAGAACCTGGGATCCAAGATAAAATTGTCTGTGTTATCTGAGGAGCCACAAAAGTACAAATCAAGGAAGCCCCTTCCTCTGAAGAAGATGAAAAGTTCACTTTAGGCTCAACTGGGAGAAACTAGAAGTCCTCTGCTGTTGAAGCAACTCACTTCAAGACAAGGGCTCCTCCAGTAAGGCAAAAAAGAATCATCATCTAGGGACCAGAAGACAAGTATTAGCTTAACTCATGATAATAATTAGAAAGGTGCAAAGTTTACATCTATAATATTATTTCTTTAATATAAAAATAATAAAATGTCCTCATGAATTATATTTATGATGAGCTAGAGTTATGATTGTTTTCAATAAAAAGTTTTTCATTTAAATGAAGGATAAGGAACAGAAAGTTTTATTAGACTCTCCTGCCATTAACAAAGCCTATATTACAAGCCTGATGATTGATATCAGAGTTTAAGTCACTTCCACCTTGGATGTAGTATGGAGTTTGAAGGGATTGAATCCAAATAGGCTAAATCCGTAAATTATTAATTGCTTCATACCCAGGATGAGAAAAAAAAATTCTGTTTTATGCATGGAGTAAAGAGTGAAGAGGACGTGAGGAATTATTGGATGGATCATGGGAGCTATGTGGTTTCTCACATTTAGAATTTAATCTGAAACCAGAGCCGTCTAATTTGGTCACTCTGCAGACTTTTGGTGGGATTTTATATATATATATATATATATATATATATATATATATATATATATATACATATTTTTTTTTTTTTTGAGACGGAGTTTCACTCTTGTCACCAAGGCTGGAGTGCAATGGCGTGATCTCAACTCACTGCAACCTCTGCCTCCCAGGTTCAAGTGATTCTCCTGCCTCAGCCTCCCGAGTAGCTGGGATTACAGGCATGTGCCACCACGCCCGGCTAATTTTTGTAATTTTAATAGAGACGAGGTTTCACCATGTTGGTCAGGCCAGTCTCAAACTCCTGACCTCAGGTGATTTGCCTGCCTAAGCCTCCCAAAGTGCTGGGATTACAGTCATGAGCCACCGTGCCAGGCCTATATATATATATATATATATATATTTTTTTTTTAAAGAAATGGAATATGTCTGAACATCCTGTGTAGAAACTAAGACAAACAGATATACTGTCGATCTAAGATCATTTTTGTTCATTCTTCTAGATGTTTGCAATGATGTTTGGAGGTAGTATTATTAAAACTCTACAGAGTCATGGTTTAGTAAATTTCTGTAAAATTATATTAATAATAAAACACTAATGTAATAAGCTGCTAAAAATCAGAGTTAACATGAAATGGTATGGCTGCATAAGAAGCAAGCTGAACTTATACTGCATCAAAAAAACAAACATAAAGTTATGGGTGGTGGCTCATGCCTGTAATTCCAGCACTTTGGGAGGCCGAGGCAGGAGGATCACTTAAGGCCAGGAATTGAAGACCAGCCTGGGCAACATAGCGAGACCTTGTCCCTACCAAAAAAAAAAAAAAAAAAAAAAAAAAAAATCGCTGGGCATGGTGGAGCACACCTGTAGTCCCAGCTACTTGAGAGGCTGAGGTGGGAGGATCACTTGAGCTCAGGAGTTACAGGTTGCAGTGAGCTAAAATTGAACCATTGCACTCCAGTCTGGGTGACAGATCAAGACCCTGTCTCAGAAAACAAAACCAAAACCAAAACCTAAAGAACTTATCAAAGCTACAAAGTTAAATATTATTTGGTGATATGTTTCTCAACATACTGTTGTTATTAAAAAGGATTTGCTTACTGGCACTATGTTGGAGAAATGATAACATAAAGTTTATTTGATCCATTGTGCAATGGGGATATGCAAATGTCAATCCATTTGGAACTGAGAAACCTAGATTCCAAAACTTAAGGAACTGGAGGGGAAGGATCAAATAGAAGGTGGCATTTGAATACTCGCTATGTGTTAGACACTTTCAGGCTTCCTTACATGTATTCAAGTTTAATCCTGACCACACCACGGTCTTGTAAATCAGGAAGGAAACTTGGAGGAGGAAGCTGCCCACAGTCAGTAAGTTTCTAAGTGGTGGGGAGAGTGCTTTGACCACAAATTTCCTCCTCTTTTCACTTTAGGATGCTACCTACATGTCGAAATTGTGAATTCATTCTCACTCGTACACTTCATTTCCTTAGAAAGCTAAGTTTAGGAAAGGTGCATAGAATCACTAAGCCAAGGAAATTGGCTTCTAGAATCACTCTAAACCAAAGCTAGAAGGGCTCACATTCTTCTAAAAAGAAACTTAGCTGTAGATGTAACATAACATACTGTATACATAAAGGTTGAAAATAAAAAACCTGTTTCTGCTTGAGGCAGGGAAAGGGGAAGAACGCAATAGAAAGAAACTGGATTTGCAGTCAGAAAACCTGGGTACAAGTGTCAGCTCTGCAGCTCTCTTAGATGTGTAACTCCAAGAAAGATTTTAACCTTCCTGAGCCTAAATTTTCCTCATCACTTACCATATCATGTAGAGAGAACAAAAAGGAGATAAAGGATGTTTTAAGCCATAAAAATATTATAAAATGTGATTTTTATTTAATAGTTCATTTCTCTCTGTATTAGCAAATCTATACATAAGCCATTAAAGATGTTTAAATCTACAGAGGTAATTCTTTAGCCTTTTTGGCATCCTGTGGGGTGGGCAGAGATGTCCTTTCTTCTTTCCAATTCTGTTCCAATAAGTTCATTTGAAGGGAAAGGGTTAGAAAGAGATCCTGGGTGAAACTATTATCCCATTCTCTGTCTCTTCTTTAAAAATTACTGGTTTCCTTCTCCTGGTCTGTTTTTAAAAAGCTCAGGTAGATCACAATAGATTTCCTCCAGGTAACAAAACTCTTTTCCTATTTCCCTGATGAATAAAGTTTTGAAGCATGTTAAAGTTCAAAATCAATAGCTACCCAGAGAAGACGAACAGTTATAGTACCAGGAGGTCAACAGGAGCCTAAAGATACCTGCAGGGGAGGGCATGACCACCCTATTCAACACCAACCTTAAAGGTTAGGAACATTGCAGCTTCCTGTAGCAACAAGACAGTTTTGTCTTTCATAAACTGAAAGTATTGGTATTTCCTGCCAAGTTAATCTTTTGGAGTAATAGTTCCCTTACATTTATTTTAGTAAATCAGTTTCAAAGAGGACAAGCCAAACATAGAGTGCAAAGTGATTCATATAAAGTCATCGAAACTTTCCACTCCTTCCAGCATCTTGAGTCTCCAGATTTCAGACCTGCCTTATAACCCCAAATTGTGAACATCAAGTCCTTTTATCATTCATCGTTAGGACAGAAAAGAAATCTAATGATTGGGAAGACTCAGGTTAGAAAGACTCAGGTTTGCTTGTTTCCAGAGGCAGCCTGGGTTTAAAAATCAAGAGAGAACATGGTTTCAACCAAGAAGGGAGAATTATAGTAATTATCCAGACATTCAATCTGGCTGCGAGTCTTCACTCTTTCCAAACCACCTCACCTCCTTCACACACGTGCTTCTGCCTCAAATACTATATCCCAGGCAAACAATTTTAACCAAAATTACTACAATAGCTGCTTATAGTGTTCAATTTCGTTACAAAGCCTCAGCAAAAACTGAGAATAATGTCTCAATCTTTAAGTTTTAAATATTCTCTGCATGGCTGGTTGGCTAAATGACTATAGAGCAAGTGAAAGAGTGTGGTGGCTTTTGGAGAGTGTCTGTTTGGAATTTTTGTCTCTCTGTGTTTGTATGTGCATGAAAACTAAAGTTGTTGCAAATGTGAAGATTTCAAGCATTTTTGAAAATTTATTAATATAAATAGGAAAAACTAGCTCAGTCAAAAGCTACAATTTAAATTTCCTGGACATCCAGAGTGTTTGGAAATGATCCTAGAGGAGCCATAACTAGGTAATAGGAATTAGGTACACAGATGGAGGTGGACATTGGTGGGAAGTCTCAGGTTACCCCCAAACTCCAAAGGAGGCCACTGTTCACCCCAAAGGATTGCTGACCTTTACTTCATACACTTCAGAAGCTCTTAACCTACCTGGAATAATGAGTGAAATGCTTGGAATATATGAAGGGTACCATGCAAATATCTATTTGTTAAAATATGGCTTTTGTTTAGGTTAATTGCAGTAAGAAAAGTAATACCCTCATTTCTATGACTCAGTCTTAGAATATGAGAATTTTCTCATGCAAAGGCTCCTCCCTGAGCAGTTAGATAGACATGAGTTTGATTTGTTTTATTGACAGAATAAGGGGAATGAACCTAACTTGGCCTTCTCCTCTTTTAAAATTATGAATCCGTAAATTGTGGGCCCAATGGAAAGTCATTAGCGGATGGTATAAGGAAGCTTAGCATGGCCAGGTGTCAACTGGCTGCCTTTTAGGCCACTATGGGCCATTGGACTATTTGAACCATGAGAGCATTTTTCGTTACCTTTCGTGATTGAATGGCACGTTGACATTTTCATTAGTCTGAAGGAGTTTCTTACTGCCACTACAAAAGATAGCAACAGCCAGGATCCAGGCAGTCATGCCCTAGAATATTCTCTCTCTGTTATTGTGTATGGAGGAAAAAGGAAGCATAGTACTGTCTGGTTGTGTGGCCTCTTCAACAAGGAAGAAAGTGATAAACAGCATTGGTAGGGAGGAGATGATTTGAGAACAGGTGGTGTGGCAAAAGCAATGGACAGACAAGAAGCAACGTATAGACAAGGTGATCATGGGGTCCATGGAACACAATCCTAAATTAGCATAACTATGGGAATGAGATGAAAGGTGCTGGTCTAACAGACTGAAGCTGTAGTCTGCTGAGCAACACTCCCAGGTCTCCACAGAGTAGCATTTTTATTGCAGTATGTCTTTCATGGAAAATGGACAAAACTTTAAATAAATCACAATTACTTATTGCTTAGTATTTTGAATAATAAATTCTTTAGTTTATCAGTACCTCACGGCCTTCAATGTGCATTCTTCAGATAGTTTCAGTTACATATACATTCTTTCTCCTGAACAATAAATTATTCTTAAAAAAAAGAAAAGGAAAAGATACATAATTTTAAAGCAAAGAAAAACAAAAGAACATATATTTTTGACATTTATCTTAAACTTATATGAAAACAACTCTATATGTTAGATGCTTAAATATAAATAATAAAGGACATTATGTTATTTACAATGTTACATAGTAAGTTGAGAGAGTAAAAACTGACATTAACTCAAAAAGACAGTAAATGATATAAGAAAACATCCAAGTAATATACAATATGTATTTACAAAAGAATATATAATAGAACTTGTGATATGTGGCCATTTCCTTCTGCCTACATTTCTCTTCAGTGTTTCATAGGTCTTCGCAGATAGAAATCTCTGGCTGGTGGAATGCAGCCAGTATTATTAATACAAGATAAGACCAGGCCTTCCTTATTTTCACCAGTGTGAGCCATGCGCCCTTTAACCCCAGGCCATAAAAAGGAATAGTTAGTGAGCAAGTTACCCTGGATAAACTTCACCTCTAACAAGACAGTCACACTGAAACAAGAAAGTGATAGCAGGTTTGGGACACATTCACCTACACAGAGGACCATTTTGTAGAAACTAGAATGCTGTCCAGGCACTCTTGGGGGCAAAAGTCACACTAGGCAGGAAGGGAAAGTAAGATAGAAAGTGAATCTTAGGTGAAACAAAAGGAGTTTTGCATGTATTTGCATGTATTATGCTCCACTGCATACACCTCAGTGGGATACGATTTTAGACCCGGGAAACAAAGTTGCTGTCAAACTCCTGGGCAATTTCTACTACCTTAAAACCTAAGATAGCTTTCCATATGCTGGGAACATAAGTTCACACTCCGATCGCCACTGCACTGTCGGAATTTATTAACAGAGGTGGTCAAGAGTGATGTGACAAGCATCACAGAGATACCCCTGTAAACACAAATCTAGTGGCCTTGGCAGGTGATGCTGAGCAGTCAGCTGGCCTTTTTTATGAAGGGTGCAAAGGATGTCCCAACTATAATAATATGCCACCTCTGTGAGTGATCAGAATCAAGTTAGAAATACAATTTCCTCTTGTCTTCAATTTTCATATATATTTGCAATTTTAAAATGCATAGCAATTCTCATTGTAAGAAACATGTTGCTCATGGTTCTCAACAGAAACTTCTATTTATTCTTAAAATTCTTCCACAATGGGATATCTGAGTACCCCAATGCCCAAAGAATTTGAAACAGAATTTTTAGGGTTTTAAATTCATGGTAGGAATTTCTTCATTGAAATAGCTAAGGATGAGTCAAGGCCTTCAAAGGCAATGTTAAAATAATTTAGAGAACTTCATTGGACTGACTGTCTTCTTCCCCATGCCGTGAGCTTACTCATTACTGCAGAATTGGAAAATCAGTGCAACCTGACAAAGACTCCTCAGTGTAGGTTAAAAAGCAAATGAGGATACCACTGTGCACAGAGAAAGTGGCATGTGAACAGTGACGAAAAATTTGAGATACCAAATACTAACAATAACTTCAAGAACCTGCAGACAGGCATCTCTGTGGATTGTAGGAGCATGTGGGAGGGTAACAACATGACTCATGCCCAGCCTGCATTTTTCTGCTAAGACCTACTTGCATGTCATTTCTTCTTTTTAATTGTTAACATCAAGATTTGGTGAAGAAATACATTCAGTTCACCCGCAAAAAAGAAGCAATTACTCTCACTGACTTCATGAATCCCCCGATAACCTGTTTCCCATTTGTCCCATGGTTCCTAGGAGGCCATGTGAATCCTAAGTAAAGCTCCAGCCCTGATTTCACAGATATCAGGCAGGCCATGAAATGGGTTCTGTGTTTCAAATAATTTTTTTTCTTCCATTTTCCTGAATTAGCAGTTATTTCAAATGTTAATACTTATAGGCCTTCCTTTGGATTTACCATCACAAAAGAACATGCAATGCTTAGACCAATCTTAGTCCTACTTTATGACAGTAAAGCAAAAATTAAAGGAGGTGGGGGAAATGGGTGAGAGAGCCTGTAAATGGAGAGGTCAGGACACAGGTGGGGGTCACTTCTGCAAGTAAAGGTGCAATCTTTCCAACAGGATTGACATTTCCTGATGAATCATTACTTGTGATTACAAATCACATACACATCGGCCATTCCTGATAAAAAATGTTCATGCATAGTTATGACCTGATCAAGGCAACATGGAAAGATAAAAGAAAAATAAGGGGGAGAAAGGGGTGGTCATCCACATTTTAAAATTTCAACGGAGTCACTAAGCTTCTCTCCACCTATACAGTCACTCCTTCTGAACACTCTACGATGGAAATACTTCCCTATGATGACAAGTCATCGCTATGTACAGCAGGCACGTTTGACTCTAGAAGTATTTCAGACAAAATGCTGCATGTGCTGTCTGGGCTGGGCTTTTTGTGCCGTAATATGCTTCTTTTTGAGCCAAGAAGACACAACCAATCACTAGCTTCAAAATCAGTGAAAAATACATGTCAGAAATGATTGCACCTTTATCAGCCGTGTTTTGATTGTCAACTAGATAAGCTGCTGGATCATTCCCCCAGAGAGAAAGTGACACTCAGTCCTCTTGTAAGGTGTTAGATTTACCCTGATAGCAAGCCAGAACCCATTTTCTAAGCTATCCCTAAAACTGTTGCTTTTTGTCAAGAAAAATAAAATCAAATAAAGTAAATGAGAGCTCCTTTTAGTAAGAGCAAGCTGTCTTCTGATTAATAATATAGTTTTTTTTAAATCACAGTATTACTTTCTTCCTAATATTTAACATTACTTAATGCAGTTTCTTGCTGTATTTAATAGTAGCATGCTGTTGGATCTACTATTATCTCAGAGCCCAATGAGGCAAACCTTTGGCTGGCAGAGTAGACACAACTCATTTCATATTCTGAAAGCAAAGAAAACTTCATACACAAGAGAGGCATATCTGGATGGATGTGCCATTACAAGACATACTGATCGGGTGCTACTACAAGCAAACAGAGGGACAGTTGCAAGTCTTGCAAATCATACATCCAGTCAACATCATAATGCAATGCACAAGAAGCCAGCAAAAACTGAATCTATGAGAGGTTTTGCAGAAATACTGTGGAAAAGCAATCACTGTAACTGTACAAAACTTGCTCTCGACATAACATAACATAAAGGCACCATTGATATCTTTCTCGTTTTGAAATACTGTAAAAAATTGCTACATATGGCACATAACACATTTTTACATACATATATTTAATTTATAAAAGTTTTTTTCCTGTTTTCTATTTGCAGAACTGCTAAAATAAAATAAATTGTTTAATTTAAGGTGGAATACTTTATTATATAAAATAAAGTTTTACAGGTGAATCTATGTGTTTATTTAGGTTTTATACAGCAATAGGGTCTTGGTTAGCAATTACACTAGACAGCCTGGCCTGGATTTCTTCCTGTGTCGAGAAGCGGCCTGCTGGGTTAGTCCTGCTGTCAGCCAGGCGGAAGGCAGGTGTTGCCTCAAGACTGGCTGCCAGGGGGTTCTGTATGCCCAGGAAAGGCGTATCTTCACCTACTCTTTCATCTTCTGTTTCACTCTCTGAGTTACTGCTCTGGGAGCTTGTGTTGCTGTCCACTTCCAATCTGTTAGCAATGTGGCCATTGGGCTTGGTTCTTTTGGCCCGCCGGCTATTGGCGAGTTTCTTAACAGGCTCTTGGGCTGGCTCGTACTCTTGGGTCGTTTCATACTCCTCATCCTCCACTATCCTCAAGGGGCTAGCAGGGAGGCTGTTACTGTCATGCGCGGGGTTGTGGTGGAAGGAGCTGAACTGCTGAGGGTGATGGTCAAACTTCTTCTCCCGCAGCCTTGGTGGTGTCACGAGAAGTAGAGGTCTCTCTTCTTCCATGAAGGGGCTGACCGCCATGGAAGGCATGGACACCGTCATGCTGGACACGGGTGGAGACATTTCCGAAGGGGGCGATTTGGGGGAGCTTGGCGTGTGGAAATCTACAGGTGACATACGAGCCGGGGTGGTCATGGCTGACACATACCTGTGTGAGCACAGAATACCCTGCATAAGTGTGGTGCAATAAGAGGCACATAGCAGGGAAGGTAAGGGGACAGAGTTCACGGTATTATATCATCAGAGAACAGAGAATTTCTATTCATTGTAGGCTGCTTAATTATTTAGGCTAGGAAATTCCACACCCTTGGAATCGAAAATTAGGTAGCCAAGAGTTTCCTCACAGGAGTGCATGCAAAGATCAGCTAAATTGCCTAGCTCATCAAAGCTTTTGGGATTTTCAATCTCATCACAATTATAAATAATGGCATATGAGCCAAGACAAGAAGGCATTAGGTCCTGGAAACCTCTCAGCTTATATAAGGACCAAGGCTCAGGGATTCGGAAGGGAAAGAAGTATTACTTAAATACTATACCTTCCTAAAGGCCAAGGGGTCTTAGAGAATGAAGCCCAAATGGGGAATGGAAGAAGATCTAAGATGAGTTGCTGATAGCTGGATCTGCATGCATTTGGATCTGTGTGCCTTGTTTCTCCTTAGCTCAGCTATAAGGTTATGTCTTATGAAAAAAAAAGAGCATAGTAACTTAGATTTATTCCTGACAACAGTGTCATACATTTGTGTGCTTTTCATTTTTTCCATGAAATGCAACTAGTTAACATTCAATTTGGAACTATCCATCCCAGTGTCCAACAAACACAGTCAAAGGTAAGCCTGAGAGAACCTAATTTGGCTTCACAGTTACCACAATGGAGGTTATGTCCAATCTTTGGTCTATCTCTCTTCCAAAACCCACAGCTATATCAGTCTTTGGTCAATCTCTTTCATGATGCCTCAAGGGTTGGCTGTACCCTGTTACCTTCTATCATGTTATGTCTGATAATGCTCAGTGACTCTTGCCATTAGGCCACCGAGCACACTGTTTTCACCACACCATGCTTTCTTCCCCCAGTATAAGAAGTCCTGACTTTTGGCACTGAGGAAGACGTGGCTTATTCAGAGTCACATTTCTCAGCTTTTGATAAAAAATGTTACCAACGCACAACACTAAATGACTCTTTTCTTCACACTGGCATTCACAGAGTCTAATTTGACGTGACCTGAAATGACATGGAATGCCATCATCTGAACTCTTGCTAACAGGAACGGAAAACGTATGAACCTCCCTGCTTCTCCCGGAGTCACAGTGATACAGACGTGAGAGCTAGCTGCCTCTAAACTGGGAACGTGCCTGAGAAATTGAAATATGTGGGCCTTGAGCCTTCAAACTTTTGGCTTTGGGGGTACTTAAATTAAGCTCTCTGAGAAATGCTAATTTAAATTCAACCAACATATAAAAGTGATTCATCTTTTCTCTCCATAATCTCTAGGTTCAGGAATATTTCGTAGTCCTAGATATCATCTAGAAGCCCAGCACAGTGGGGAAATGTCAACATTTAAGGATAAATATCACTTGTAGTGATGAAGAATGATTTCATCTCTAACTTCCTTTTCATGTTTCAAAAAACGATTGAAACAGAATGGATAGACTTCCTTAATACATTAAAAAAATATGAATTTAAGACTAAAGTTTTAAAACAGTTTAAACCCTGCCTACTTTTTCATAGATTGGTTGCAGGGAAACCTCTGATTTCATAAATTCCATAACGTTCTAAAATATCATTTTTGGGGAAAGGCCCTTGAAGAAGTAACCAACAGGCTTGCAAGTCCAGAATGTTTTTTTTTTTTTTTTTTTTTTGAGGCGGAGTCTTGCTCTGTTGCCTAGGCTGGAGTACAGTGGCACCATCTCAGCTCACTGCAGCCTCCACCTCCTGGGTTCAAGCAATTCTCCTGCCTCAGCCTCCCTAGTAGCTGGGACTACAGGGCAGCACCACCATACCCAGCTAATTTTTGTATTTTTAGTAGAGATGGGGTTTCACCATGTTGGCCAGGATGGTCTTGATCTCCTGACCTCGTGATCTACCCACCTCAGCCTCCCAAAGTGCTGGGATTAGAGGCGTGAGCCACCGTGCCCAGCCTGTCATTTTTTATTGTAAGTACTCCCCAGTCCATGAGTGGGAAGAGTCTATGAAAGTCATCCCTACCCATGGAACTACCACACAAGTATGAATTTGACATTATGTAAACCTTTTAGTAAATGGTCAAGGATTAGACTAAGATGACAATAAAATAAAATAAAATAAAATAAAATAAAATAAAATAAAATAAAATAAAATTCAGCGGACTTGCAAACAAACAGGTAATAGCTTACCTCTGATTTCATAAATTCCACAAAGTTCTAAAATATCATTTTGAAGGAAAGGCCCTTGCAAAAGTAAGCAACAGGCCTTCAAGCCCAGAATGTGTTATTTTATTGGAAGTAACTTCCCAGTCCAAGAGTGGAAAGACTCTATCAAAGTCATCTCCTCCCATGTAACTACCACATAAGTATGGATTTGACATTATGTAAACCTTTTAGTAAATGGTCAAAGATTAGCCTGAGATGACAATAAAATAAAGTAAAACCCAGCAGACTTGCAAACAAATAGGAACAGGTAACAGCTTACTGATGGGCTAGAAATACTGGTCATCTTCCAGCTCAGGTGAAAATGGAGAAAGAGAATCTATGAATTCAATATTACTATTTAATATCTCTTTGTTTACTTTCCTCCATTCTTCATTTTACCTTTGCTATAACTCCCCCAACCCAACCCAATCTCCCCAAAGGAAAGCCAAAACATTCTGGAATAAAGGGCCATCTTGAAGGCAGTATCTGCTTTGAAAACCACCCGTGAAGACTGCCAGACGCAGCATCCAAGAGATTTATTTATTCATCCCTTCTTGGAATTTCATAAAATAGATACTATAGGGTGGAGGGCAAGCAGTTGCCCCCCATGACATTCAGCAATGACATAGCCCTTGATTTGACTTAACTGAGGCTGGAAGGTAAGACAGGGTTAGCAGATAAGAACACGAGGCCAGCTCGACCACCGAATCAGAGTTTGGATAACTGGCAATTGGAATTATAGAAGGGTCCTTATCAAGCATTGATGCCATCTCTCTAATGTTACAACTGAGGACACTGAGACCCCGAGTGGGTCTGAGCCCATGGCCAGAGCTGGAAACTCCATGTGCTGCACCTTCCGCATCAAAGCATCCCAGCTCTTTAAGAGTCTGTTGCCTGTCAGTCACTGGGACGACGAGAGAAGCTCAGAAGAAATAAGTTCCGTCAAACAAAGAGATGACTTCATCAACTAGGAGCACTCCTAGAACAGGTAACTGCCGCCCCTTATTCTGATTAGAGTAGATTTCCTGAGGTGAGACCGCAGGTGCTCACAGGGATTCTCTGACTGAGTTTCTCCTCTGCAGTAGCTTTGCCCTTCGGTTTTACCTTTCACTATGAGGAGAGTCTCGGTAGGAATCAGGGGTTTCTCTGGCATGCCTGAGGAAGCTGTTACATTCACGAGGGCCTCCTGTGCCATTAAGACGTCCTCTTGGGCCCCCAGTTGGGCTGCTGTGCCTACTGTTTTCTACGGATGACATCACGATTACAGAGTGGCTTTCGGAAAGGATGCTTTCAGTGTGTCCGTTGCTCCAGCTGCGGAGGAAATGGGAGAGACAATCAGATATTTCGTGCAAAAATTATATGCAAAAAAATGGAAATGAAAGGAATGGATTCTGACAAATGTTTCAAACTACTGATGCACCCGGAGCTCACTGTAACATCACTTGTCTCCGAATAGAATCGCCACAAAGGTAATTTGCTATAGAGAGGATCTTGATTCAGATTGGCTTTGTAAGGATACAGTATATTCACTTGTCCACTCATTCAATAAATATTTTCGAATGCCACTCCTCAGTATATAATTATAATCTCTCTGTTCTTGAGTGGCTTAGATTAAAGAAACATTTCCTTGTATGAGCTACATTTGGAGATCTAGTGTTGGTCTTGGTAGAGTAAGTGCACTCAGGTGGGGATCACCAGGGCATTTGAGAATTTAGGGTTCCACTATTTAACCAATTCTCATGTGCATTTCCCAGGGCAATCCAATTACTGAAAGAAATTGACTTCTAAGTATTTTGCAGAGCCAAAGACAGACTTGTCCCAGTGTAGCAATTCGGTGAGTAGCAGGGCATGAGTAAAGACAATCTCAGGAATGGGAAACAACGGCCCTGTGGAGTTACCTAATTGAGGTTCAAATTTATGCAGGAATTAAGGGCAAAGCCAGTTGATTTTCAAAATCTGTTGCTGCCCAAAGACCATCCATTTCACTGCCTCCTTTCTTAGGCAGGGATATCAAAAGGCAATGTGCAACAATTCATTCTGAGAGAAAAGCCGTGGAATTTTTAAATTCTCATACCTGTGGCTAGGAGTCTGGGTGACAGTAGTGGAGTGATGGGCTGTGGAAGTATAGTGACTGGTGGAAAAGGATGTCTCTGCTTCTCTCTCAACAATATGCTCACTGGAGATGACGTTTTTAGATACGTATTGCTGGATAAACAAAGAGACACAACTTGAAGATTCACGTAGATTCATGTCAATCAAAGCACTAATATTGTCATGTAAATAAAAACGTTAACACTGTCAGAAACACACAAATCTATTTTTGTACAGCTGATTTGTAATAAATTCCATTTCCCCAATGGCCAGGTGGAAAATCCTGTCCTGGCTACTGTGGCTTTTAGATTAGATGAATAGAGTTAAAAAAAAAAATACTCTCTGGATGTGCATCCAATGTACGGCCCATCATTCCAACTACATTTTATCAGCAAAAGTCCTATTTCTTCTATTTTATTTTAAATTAATGACTAGAATTCCATACAAATATCCATCCAACATTCATTTGTTTCATGGTATTGCAAGGTGAAGAAGGCTAAATGCTATTTGAAATAGAAGCAGACAGGTGATTTGTATAGTTTCAAATTTCAAAGCACTAGAAAAAAATATTCAGAATCTCTATATGTTGGGCCTACCTTTCTCCTTCCATTTCCTAGTGCCCATGTTGCCCTACTAATGTCACTGAAATGTTTAACTTGTTAGCAGTGGTAGGGCTAACAAGGCTACTGATAAGGGACTTAACAATTGTTGTCAATGCACACATCTTGACAAAGCACATAATATATGGAGGACATTTCTATTTAATGCAGGTAGATTCTACTTTTCTCTCTTCTTTCTTTCTTTTCTTTTCTTCTCCTTTTTTTTTTTTTTTTTTTTTTTTTTTGAGATGGAGTCTCACTCTGTTGCCCAGGCTGGAGAGCAGTGGTGCAATCTCAGCTCACTGCAACCTCCACCTCCCGGTTCAAGCAATTCTCCTGCCTCACCCTCCCGAGTAGTTGGGATTACAGGCATATGCCACCATGCCCAGCTAATTTTTGTATTTTTAGCAGAGATGGGGTTTCACCATGTTGGCCAGGCTGGTCTTAAACTCCTGACCTCAGGTGATCCGTCCACCTCTGCCTCCCAAAGTGCTGGCATTACAGGTGTGAGCCACCATGCCTAGTCAGAGTCTACTTTATTTTTATCAGCAAACCACAGTAGTTTTTACTGTTTCTATTAGGGAGGGAGGCCCCTTTTTGAAGTTGTGTTTTAATTGCTGTTAGTATTTATACCAAATTGAGTTAAATAATAGGAAAACCAATAGAAAGGAATACTCTTTGATGAAATAAGGCACTTTATAATCTGACGGTCTGCGGGCTCTAAATATATTCAGGGAGATCCAAAAATATACAGCTTGAATTATGCTTGAAACTCTAGCTGGTTCTCTTAGTGGAAAGGCTATTCCATGTGGATCTTCCTGGGAAGTACAGCTAGCTTGATTTAAGGAAAGGATACACAGTGACCTACTTCCAGTCCCTGAACCATTTCACTATTGCTTTTTGGAAGGCAACATAAGCTCAGTGAATCTAATGAAAAAAATACTTAACAATTATTGAACACTCACTAAATGCCACTAGACTAAGTGTTTTATGCAAATTACCTTATTTAAGGCTCACAAGGAGTCTCTGAAGTAGGTATTATTTTTAGGTCTGTTTTTATATTGAAGAAATAAGGTTGAGAAAAGTTAAAGCCCAAAGATGCACAATGTGAGCAGTAAATGTAATCTAGGCAGTCATTCTACCGTTTATATATTATAACATGCAGAGTGACAGATTATAGTTCCTTTTGTAGTGAATATCGTTATCAAATGTGGAGAACATTGTGATGAACACTGTTAGAGGGTGAAAAGGCAACAGAGTGTGTTAACCTATAAGCACCTTGCTCCAACAAAGTTTTGAAGGTTTTTGCTACAAGACTTGCTGATAGTTTAGTAACCACCAACTCTGTAGTTGGGTCTATGATATATCTGTTCCATTCAAAATATGCCTTTTTCTATAGGATAGAAAATGGTACTACAATATAAGCTTCAAGCTTTGTGTATTAAAAAAACCATACATCAGAGCAATAATTTGAAAATAAGAAGGATGATGCTGGAATATAAAGAGCAATACTCCAAAAGCCAAGAGATGGTGCGGCTCTGGCCCTTATCTGTAAAAAGAAAAAGAGAGATTTGAAAGATAATATCTTCAAACTCTCCAGAACCTAATATTCTATGATCTAGTTGTATTTAAAAAACTGAATGCTGAGTGTTTGGTACAGTATGAAAAAAATATTTTAATGATTATGGATATATTTCATCTGGAGGGCTTGACATCATTTAGAAAGGGCCAGGGAAGAAGCTGGCATGACACTCTTCTTTTGCTACTGAGAAGGGTGTTTGATAAGTCACTTGACCTTTCCACGCCCTAAAGGAAATCAGAATCCTTTGGAAATCATAACCAGTAAATCATCAGGCACTGTGAATTGCCCTAAGAAAATAACTCTAAAGCTCTTTGCTCGGTTATCTGTACTAATCAGTTACAGAATGGAGTAGCCTGTATTTCCAAGTTATATATGAAAACATTCTTTTTGATTATCGTACTATTAAATTTGTTTTCTCCCCACTCTCTCCACGCAAGCCCCAGCTATGGCCTCCTTGCAGAACAAACCCAACACTATTATTCCAACCCCTTAATGAACACTTTATAAGAGGAAATGTGCTGATTTTACAGTAACCAAATCCACTTTTAAAAATGTTCCCATTATTTTCTCCTGGCAAAAACCTGGATTCCTGGAAGCCATGGTGATTAATGGCAGCAGCTAAAAGCTTAAGAGCTTTCGAAAATAAACTTCAAGGCGTCTGAACAAAGGAGAGAGGCTCAGTTTTTTCCACTGGCCAGAGTCAACGTACATTCACCAGCTGGACATTCTCGGGGGGTGGGTTAGGATGGTGAGGCCCATTGGCAATGTTCATCATATTGTTTCGTTCAGACCGAAGGCTCTGCCGAAGACGGTCATGCAGCTTTTTCCGCTGTTTCCTGGACATAAGAAAGGGAGCATTTATTTTTTTTTGATTATTTTCATTTCATAGTAGAGCCAAGTCTTTATTCTACCAACACCTATGAGTAGTTCAAGGCAGTAGACTGGTGATGAGGAAGAGGGAAGGGAGTATGTCCACTGTATCCCAGAATAAGTGAAACCACACATCCTTACCAAACAGATTTTAAAAGCCACCTGGGATTCTTATGGAAATTTAGCTGTTTTACTGAGAGACAAGAAAAAAATAGGATAACACAAATAACTTGATAATTGACTAAAATCACAAATTTCCTAATCAATCCATCTTTGCCTAAGTCTTACAAATGGACACTTATTTGTCTTAGATAATAATTTGTGCTGGGCTGGGTGGGGTGGCTCATTCCTGTAAGCTTAGCACTTTCGGAGGCAAAGGCAAGAGAATTAATTGAGTCCAAGAGTTTGAGACTAGCCTGGGCAACATGGAGAAGTCCTGTCTCTACAAAAAATACAAAAATTAGCCGGGCTGGTGGCGTGCACCTGTCGTCCCAGCTACTCGGGAGGCTGAGGCATGAGCATCACTTGAACCAGGGAGGGGGAGGTTGCAGTGAGCTGAGATTGTGCTACTGCATTCTAGCCTGGGTGAAAGAGCCAGATTCTGTCTAAAAAAAAAAAATGTGCTGTAGAATTTATAAGAGTGATTTCATTTATAGCTTTTCCTGGGGTCTCTTAAGAAAATGAACTGAGTTTTGAATATACACAGTTAGCATGTTTGTGAGTGTATCCCATGTATACGCGTGAGAATGTGGACATATTTTGCCAGCGGATTTTGGCACAATCGTAACATGTTCCTACTCTGGTAACGCTTTTTGTGCAATTAGGCAGCGAATATTGAGATGGAATCTAATGAGACTCACCAGGTCGACTCCAGGAAGGCTTATCTCTATCCCTTAATTCTGGCAACACACTAAATCATGGGATATTGACAAAATACAATCCATGCTTTGGATTTTGTGGCATAAAAGCATATTATTTTTCTTCCTCAATGCAACATTCAGATTATGAAATATTCCCATGGATGGTTTGGCAACAGAGTATCGTGCAGCAACATTTTTTCAAAAACCTTGTTAATTTAACATATTAGGCTTGAAATGTAAGTTATATGTAGGAGAGAAAAGTGAAGAGAATCCATGTCACATAGTAATTGAATTTGTTAATACGGACCAAACTTCAAGACCAAACATAGGGAACCCAAATCTATTCTAATGTTTTCTCTCTTATGTTTTCAAAGAAAGTTTTGCTTCATTTTCCTCCCCTGAGATTCCTTTTTTACATCTCAGGCTGTGAGAGCATTCATACTGGCAACCTAATTAGATAGAATTTAAAAATAATAATAATAATCACTATAACTCAGAAAACTGCATTTCAGATACCACGAAAGGTTTCCTTTATCTCGTAATTTTCAGTGTAAATTGGATTTGTTCTCAGTAGTCCTTTGAACTGAAGGTACTACTGCACCCTGAATGCAGTCAGTCTCTAACTCATAGAAGTTTTTCTAGGTGCAAGTTAGTTTCTTTTGGGGATAACTTAATTATACTAAAGCCCTCAAATGGACTTCTGGTACCCTCCCTCTCCTTTTAGAATGAGGTGCCTTCATTCTGTCCCACCCACACACATACCTTCCATACAAGCCTGTCCCTCCAGGCCTTTATCCACTCAGGGGCTGTGGTCATTGAACAGAAATCTTTACATGAATAGGCAAACAGCTTTCTATTTCTGTGTTTAGGAGACATCCTCAAAATGGATTATTCAGAGGAAATAATCTCCCCCTGCCCCTCCTTTTTTTTTTATCCCCAAGACTAGGCTGTGGAGCTCAGATTCTGCAAAGCCCTGGCCATCTAAGCTGTCTCTGCATGAAGGAGAGAGAAAGGCATGGAGAAAGAAGGTTTACTTGGTTTTGCAGTAGGCCACCACACACATGATGCCGACCACAAGGAGGGCGATGCAGATGCCGGTTATGGTCAGCACTCTCTTCTGGTACAGCTCCTCCGCCTCTGGAAAGGGATGAGAGCAGATGTCATCACAGGTCACTTCCACTTGCCAGGACTGACTACAACCAAACAGTGGGCATGCTGCATGACATTGTCCATGTTCACAAGAAAATAAATACATGACAATTCTTTACGTTTACACACATAGCTAAGGTACAACATGCTCTGCACTATGCTTTGAACATAAATATAAAAAAGCCAGCTGGGGCCATTTACAATACAAATATTATACTCAGAAATTACTTCTAATTATAAGCTATAGAGATATATATAGTTGATAGTAAATTGGAAATCATAAACATTAATTATAAAATAACTATTTGGTTAAAACTCTGTAGTTTTATTTTTTTTTGTAGTCTCTTGCAAAATAAAATATAAAAAGCTCTTGCAAAGACAACAGGAATCAACACCAATTAAAGGAGATGGAATTGGCATCACTGGGCGCCCCCCACTTCCTCCTTCCTCCCCTCTTTATCCCCCAGCCCCTGGCCTTTTTGTATTTCCCAGATATTTTATATCATCACTTTATATCCAGTGGTCTTTACAAAGAGTCATTTCTAACTTAAATATATTAAATTCAAAGACATTTGCAAACATGAACTTGGCTTGTAGTTAACTAGTAAATTGAGTCAGGCTCTCTGTGATTTAACAGTAAAATGTGAACACAAGAAGCAATACAATATGAGGTAGCAGGGCACTGTATCAAAGAAAATCCTATGTGATGGGTAGGACAGTTATGGGCCCAAATGGTGACTTGTCCTTTGGAAGACAATTCTAACTACTCCACCAATTGTACTTAGGAACAAGTTTTATTTGTCCAAAGAAGTCACCAGTACAAATGATGTGTGATTTGGAATAGAGTGCACATTCCTACGTTGGCCAACTTGGCAAATGAGCTAATGTAGATTATACTAAGGAAATGTGACACTTAGAACTTTGAACCAAAGATACTACTGCACCCAAAATGCGATCAGTCTCTAATTCATAGAAGTTTTTCTATTTGCGAGTTAGTTTCTTTGGGGGATAAGTTGATTATACTAAGGTAGGTCAGGTTCTTAACAAGATTTGCTGATTTAATAGGGACTCTGATCCCTAAGGACCTGAGCTTCCAGTGAGTCTAATTACATTTATTGGAAGATCTTCACAAGTTCACTCAGAAAGAGAACTCAACTGGTATGAAATAAGCAGTGTAAGCTGTTCACTTGCCATTATGATCAATAAATTGGTCAAGAACTGGGGAATACTGTACAAACAGAGCTGACTATTCTGGACATCAACAAGGGAACCTCAAAGCATATTTCCATATTATATCTGCAGTGGCACAACTACACCTTTAACTACACCTTTTTCTCTTTTGAGAGAGGGCAGCTTGCAGGAAGTTTTCTTGAAATGAAAAAGTGAATTTTAATTTCTAGGATACAGTGGACCTTATCATGAAACAAAACATTTCCTACAAGCCGAGCCCATGATAATCAAATTCCAGTAAACAGGTCAAGAACATTGTCAAATCAAATTAATATAGCACTGATTATTAACAGGAGGAGAAGGAAAAGAGAAGTCAGTGGGTAAAGGACTAGAATGCTGCATAGAGTATACAAAAACAAATCAAAAGGGTTGGAGGTGGAAAGGAAAAACAAACCAAGAGGACAGACAGACTGACAGAATGACAGAGAGACCGAGGAAGGGAAAACAAGGTTAAAAGTTAAGGAGCCATCTGAAGTCCCTGGCACAGCATGCCTGATACTAAGGGAGGAAAAATAAAGAAAGAAAAGAAAACCAGAGGGAGGAAATGCTTGGGTGGGAAGAAAAGGTGGATGCAAAGTTGGAAGGGTCATTCCATACAGCATAACTCCTAATCTAGCAGTCATGTGGAAGCCACAATTAGAAAGCGAAGCGGCTGGTGCATTGCGGTGAAACAATGTACCAGGAGATATTGAGTTGGTATCACGGATTTTGTGTGCAGCAAAAGTCAGATGAGGACATGGAATGTGAGTGCTTATATGTTAATTGCATATGTCTGCTGCCTCCCCTCCCCCATAGCCACAGGACAGGGAATTAATTTCTATGGGGTGTTATCTGGTTGAAGCTGCTGCTGTAGCCTCTCTTCCTGATCTTGGTATCCTGATCAGGTTTTAGGATACATGTCTAAGAAGCAAAGCTGTCACCCCACTGGTCCTTCTCTCCCTGGGACCCAGGATGCAGAGCACAGCTCCCTGGGCTGTGATGAGTTGGTGAAGAAATAGGAGTGTAGGTATTATTGACAAGAGATGAAGGCCCTGTATGATTGTCCTCTTTTCCGTCCTCTATTGTTTTCTTCTTTGAAGATGGGCAAGTCTGTGGTTATTCTTGTCTACTGACATCTTAACATCCTATCTTTAGAAAGAAGCTAGGAAACTGCTTCTGCAGACTTCAAAAATGGGGACATGGACAAGGGCTAAATGGGAAAAAGGAATCATGCATACTCTCAGGGATTCTTGGGACAAGTTGTCTTTTGGTTGTTGTTAATTACAGAAGAATAGATTGAGCTGCGTTTGGAAACATATGGTGCATGATGACGGGTGCATTCTTTCTATGCAGTGTAGGAAGACACACATTTTCCAGTAAAATGATCATTTCATGGAAATAAAGAGGTAGCTCAGTAAAGGCCAAAGGGTAATGTAACAGCACTAGAATGAGCTGATTCAAGCGAAGGCCCATAGAATACAGACGTGGGATTAAAATCTTATATTCACATCAGCATTGACCAGATGCACTACAACCCTTATCCTCATTGCTATTTGAATTTTTCATGGTTTGGCTCAATCAGGTGATCCCACACTATGAATGTGATCAAGGAAAAATACTTGGTGAAAAATAATACAAACAATGGATTCTTTAACCTCTTTTTTCCCCATATTAATTTTTTTCTTATGTGTCAGGTCAACTGGGGAAGAGCAAATTAGAGACAGACAGGGCTAAAAACAAGAGTCTGTCATTCCGATCGGTGGGTCTGTCTCTCAATGAGCACAAATGCCCCAGAGTCTTCATGGTTTGGCTGGACTAACATGTTTCCAGATCAAGCACATTTTTCAGTCTGATCTGGCCTGGCCAAGAAACAGAGCCCTTACCTTTCTGAGTTGTACTTGACCTTTAAGGTCTGATTTTCCTGAAGGATGCAATGTTCTGGTTTAGTACACCGGCAAGCCTGGAACTATGAGCCTCTGGAAACTGTACCTTTGAGAAGCATGCGGATAGCAGCCCCCTGTGTCTTTTCTAACCCATAGAAGATCTTACTGAGGGGGAAGTTATATATCTCAACTGTCTTTCACTTTACTGTTGGGGACAGAAACAATACATTCTATAGTCAGACCCTCCAGCTATAAAAATGAGAAATATGCTGTTAAGGATAGAAGGGTTTGGGGTAATGGTAGAATTTTTTCCCTCCCTGCAGGATAGGCCAATAATCCATTTCATAAGTGGGACAATTTTTTTTTTCCCTGAGGGAAGAAACTCCAATAGATAGCTCCCCTCAGTACACAACGTGCTCCCTAGTAATAGAGGTGCTCCCCCTTGTGTTTCTCCCTCTTTGGAGATGTTCTGCGAGGCACAAAGGCCCATTCACGTGCACCTGGGGGCTTCTCATCAAATTGGTAGTTTACTCCTGATTTTTTTTTTTTTTTTTTTTGAGGAAGAAATGGGCAACCCATTGAGCAATCCCTGTAGCTGCTAGAGCTTGCAACTGCCTCATTTCCCGCAAAGTCTGGAAACTACATTATGTCCAGCCTGTGATGTTATCATCCAAAAGAAGGCAGCAGCTGTAGGATGCCCCTGCTGCATGATGTCCCTGAAGCCAGCTGGATGGGGACCAGATATTCTGTGAATCAGGACATTGTGTCACTGACCCAACCATGGTCCGGGACTGCAGGCAGCATTGAAAAAGACTGACTGGCCTGGCCCTGTGGAGTCTCTGGGAAGGTAGCACAGCTCCTTACTCCCCAGAGACTGGTCTTCAATCCCAACTATGTAGGATGAAGGCCTTACAAAAAAGTGTGTCCAAATTTTGTATACTCATATATTTTTCTTTTACTTTGACAGTGTGAAATTTTCTATTTGATTACTTGTCTGGATAATCTTCATGACTCAAATTTAATTCCATTACCACTGGAATCTCCACCTAAAATAGCACAAGGCTGCTTTCTTTCTGTTTTCTATTTCCTTCTTATAAGATAATGAAGTTGACTAGGGTGGTGCTTGAGTATCTCCAGAAAATCTGAGTAATTCAAGTCTGTGCATTTAATATTGTGTTGTAACGTAAGGGCTTTCTATATACATTACATTGCTTATATTAAATAGATGATTTTTACATTGTATGCCAAAAATCCTACCAGGCTAAGATGCTGTGTGTTTTTTAAGCAGATGGATTTAAAAAGCCTTTGTTCTCAGGTCTCTGAGTGGATTTCCCCTGTATCCTTTATGTGCTACTACTACTTACCCCAGCTTTTATATAACAGCAGAGCTAGATCCAATCAGTGGGTTAAGCAGCGTGGGATATATGTGAATTTGCAGCAGGTAGGGTACTTTTAAACTCTAAGTGAAGGATGCTTAGGAATCTAAAACCTGCTGCACTCAGTAACATTTCAGTAAACTAATCATAGATTGAAGGCAGAGAAATCATTGTTATAGCTGTATGATCCCTTCTAAAGAAAAAGGAAATTAGTTAGGAACTGAAAGGTAAGAGTAGGAAGGGAAAAAGATTTCAGCTCATAGGCTCTAAATTCTGCAGGCTAAAAGGAATGATGATTGGTCCATACCCATAAATTCAATCCCAAGATGCTCTGCCAATGCAGAAAGTTGACAAAAAAAAGAAAGAAAGGGAAAAAGTTTCAGAAAAGAGCAATACACTGCACTCCAAAACACATTACACATGACTATTATGGCTCTCTGTGCATGCACATTGAACCAGACAAATGGTGTGTGGTTAAGAAGCAGTGCTCAGGTACGCCTCTGTGAGTTCACATAGGGAACGTCTCTTTTTATGAGGTGTGCAAAATACCAGCACACTGTGTCTTTATTAACCCTTAAAAGACCTTACTGAGGGAGAAGTTCTGTCGCTGAACTATCCCCTAAATTATTTCCTTGTGTGGGAATGGAAAGATTATCTTTATAATCAGAAAAGGCATTTGATACTATTTCATTCCTTTTTTTAAAAGGCAGAAGCAAAGTTCCAAGGAGGTGAATTTTATTTAATTAAATTAATTAATTAATTAATTTTTACCCAAAGACACCCATTGGCAGAGGCAGGAGCAGAAGCCAAGAGGATGGTAATTTGGTCTGAAAATGTTATCAGGTTGGACTTGGATTTTTGATTGTGGGTAGCTGGCCTCAAATACTTCTTGCTCATTGGTTATCTAATTATTTTCTTAGCTGTATCTCTTTTACTTCTTCTAATCTTCCACTTTCCTCATCACTTGTCTGTTTCATTCACAGAAAGCAACAAATGCTTCTGCCCCAAAACCCCAAACAGGGGCTTGGGACACTGGAGACTCCTTCTAGTTTTTCTCATATAAGTTCTGTATGGCATAGGACAATTCTACGCCTCACTTTTTTCAAACTGTAAGGAAAAAAATAAGTGGGAAAGATCCAATTCCTAGGGTTTTTCATCTTATTACTCCTTTAAATCACAGAGAGCCAGTGAAATCACTTCTCCAGAATGCTGGACTCCCATGCACACAGCCACTTGGAGGACCTGCAGGGCTGCCCAGGGAAGTGGACTCAAAGGTATGAGCCAAGAGCCAGCAATCCTGGCAGCTGGGACTCCAGAGACTCCAGGATTGCAAGAACAGCAGAACCTGCAGAGGCTCCATTGAGGAAGTGGGGGAAAACAAGCCCCCCAAAAAAATAAAAAAAATAAAAAATCTCCAGGGATGACACTTTTCATTCTCAAAACCAAAACTGATAATCAAATTTCATGATGCGGAAGGCTCTAGGACTTCCTTTATCTCTCTCTCTCTCTCTCTCTCTCTCTCTCTCTCTCTCTGTGTGTGTGTGTGTGTGTGCGCGCGCGCGCGTGTACATGCGCCTATGTGTGTGGTCAAGAAGCAGGTTGGAAGGAGAGACAGCATATCAATGGAGATCTATATTTTCTTTCTTTGATCACTGCCTCGAGAGATACAAGGGCTATTCAATGATATGGCAAGGTATCTCTTAAGTGTGAAGAAAATGCTGTGGAGGGGTGTTTCTCTTACAAAAACTTGCATTTGGGCATGGAAAAAGTACCTCATATAGAGAGGGAAAAAGCAGGAGATGAGTGTGCTGGAATCATCTTGGTTTTGGGTCCTGCCTCTGCCGTGGAACTTTTTAGTGACTTTGGACATGTTAATTTTTCATTAACAAAATATTTCTTATGCAAACACATGCCTCACTGGGCATGCCTGGGGAGTAAAGGAGACGTGAAATATGTTGGCAAACAGCAGAAGGGTTTAACAGCTTGGGTAGCAGACACATCAAGAGATGTACCCTGGGCCATTTACTGTATTCTCGTTAACTAGCCAGAAAAACTCTGTAAGCTCCGGGGATACTTGAAAACTTAAAAACTTGCTGCCCTTTAAGGAAATAAAGCTCCCCAGATTTTTTAAAGTATATATATATATATATATATATATACACACACACATATATGCACACAAACACATATATCAAAAAGTACATTGCATAACAAGGATAATGGGAAGCACTATATATAATAATTTCCTCTGCCTTGGGTCCAGTGTACACAAGCAAATAAGCTATATTTTTCATAAATTAAAAGCTAGGGGATTTAGTTACGATTAACTTGGTTGCACAATATTCACAGCAAAATAATTTATTCAAATCCAGATAAATTTCTCTTGCCTCCGTGCAACACTCAATTGGTCAAAAATTGGTCATTTTTTTTCCCATTTGCTTTCTTAATACAAACTTTGGAACATCCACGTGAAAACATTCATTTTCCAAGGAAGTCAATAATAAATTTCCTTACTCATTTCCATGAAGGTGGGACCCAGATTTTCTTTCTAGAGCCCCCTCCCTTCCCTTGCCTTTTTCTCCTACCAGTCAGTAATAATTTAAGGGTTAAAATCAAGCGATGTCTACAGAAACTCTTTCCAGAGAGTCAGGACTCCATGCCTACATGAACACTGCTCATGATCTATATTAGTTGCATAGAAAGCTTGGTTAAGTCTTCAATAAAATTAGTAGCATGCCCATGCATACATATTACTGCATTTACAGTTTTATAGGTAAGTCTGTCAGCCTAACTATAATTTCATTTCACGGGAAGTCATTCATATCAGGCAGCTCCAATTTCAAATAATTCAATGGGAAATTGGTACTTAAAACTGGAATCTCTTCTGGCCATAAGCCCTAACAAGGAAACAAGCAGAGGGAACATGCATCAGTCATACTAGACCCAGAGCAAATAATGCTCTAATTCATTTTTACTATTGGTAGCTACATTTCTTTCATTGTAAGTCAAAAAAAAAAAAAAAAAGCAGAATACACGAACACTTTTCATTTTATGAAAAGGTTATTACTTTCTATCTGTTCTACTTAATCTAATGTTGGCCTGGACTCATTAAGAATCACATGCTTCCTATTGAACTTCTGCCTAGCCACTACATTTTTCAAATTAAATTAATAATTCAAAAACACAAAGTTTACTGTAAACAATCTAGTTTCCTTTTCTACATGTGATTTCCTGCTGTGCTCTGAGCAATATAAAAAATTAATTTAAATCTAAAAGTCTTCAGAAACTATTAAATATTGACTCACGAATCCTTTGTCTTAGGATTTTATAATTGCTTGAGGAAAACTGATTAACCTGTAGGTTAATTTAAATTTTCAATTGCATTAAAGGAAAGAACAATAGAACAACTTTCTTTTACAAAAATTATATATCCATGCAATTGTGGTTCCTGTTAAAATTTGAAGACATTTAGGATTTTTCTCTTTAACATCTTGGGCCTGTTTATGCTAATCATTTCAAAGACTTAAAATCTTAAAGTCTTGACTTTCTGTACCGCTGAGATTTCGAAAGGAGTTCTGTCAATGCCAATTCTAAACAGGACCAATTTAGTGTCTGTCTTTTAATTTTAGACTTACCTTTATAAAATGGAGATACTGTTTTTTTTCACATATGCCAATCCGTAGTGTCACTGGGCCCTTTGAAATGTTAACGGAGACTTTCTCCTTAAGTTTCAAATTCCATGTGCACATAAGCACACTCACAAACACACACACAGTAAAATCTCACTAACACTTGGCTGGAATTTATGGCAATTTTGTCACAGGTGAAGTGTTCCTCTATTCTACTTTTAGCAAGATACATGTTTGATGAACAAGAATAATTTCAACAGGTTGCATTTAGAAATCCATGCAAATGATGGATGCACTAGTAACCTGTGATTCAAAACTACTTTTAAGGATATCTGCTAAATTTACTCAGTGTGAGAATATTCCTAAAAGTTCTAAAATTACAATCTTTTAAAATATTCTAAATTTGAGCTATTCTATAATTAGGTCCTATTATGTTAGTTTATATATGACATACCTGCTCTGTACTGCCCCTAACTATTGAAAGTGTGGGTGCTTTTTCTTTTTTCCTCCCTAAAATCTGTACATTGATTATGGAGTGCCTGTATACACACACATACGTGTGGACACACACACGAACACACACACACCCCCCACACACCACATATCGATGAACACAATTTTTTTCAACTAGGAATTCTGTGTCAAGTTAGGTCAAATTTGAAGCTGACTAACCTTGACAATATTTTCCTAGAAAGTACTATAAATATAATGTTTTATTTCAAGGCAAATGACTGCCTTATAAAATATACATTTGTCCCTCTCTTTCATATTTTAAGTCAGTTTTTATAAATCAGTAAATGGCTCATTGGACATTCTGACCAGAATCACTGTATCAAGTCTGAATAATGTAAGTTTTATGTTAATAAACTTAAAAAATTATCTATTCTTTAGAATGTTATTTTTCAACTGAAAATGCAGTTTGGTAAGTTTTGAATGTTTCTCTTTGAAGCTGGGGACTATCTTTTCCTAGTTTGTGTTCAAAATTTATGTTTTCCAGACTTTAAGACTACAAACAATTAAATTTTAAAACGGTCACTATGGTGACATTCTCTATCTTTATTCTGGCTTTCACTGCTACTTGAACATAAAGTTCTTAGAGCAGCACAAATTTATTTTTCTGACTTCTATGTAGGGGTTTGCAGAGATAAAAATTGAAAAAACTCTCGGTAAGACAACACTGGAAAGCAATTTCTGATTGGAAGCTCTTGCTTTTCCAGACATGAGGCATCTCTGTTGCACAGCCATTACATATATTGTTCATAAATGTGCAATCAATCTTTGTTAAATCAGGTTAAATATGAATGCTGCTTTCCTGGATGTCGTCCAAAAGTGGCATTGAAAGCATACTAAAGAAGTTATTTAAGGAATCACACTCTGAACTTCACAAAAACATAGTGGTTATTTTAAAATGATATCTTCTGAAAAAGCAAATGGTCTAAAAGAGAAGTTGAAAATATTTTCTCTGGTTACTACTGTCAGATCTAACTACATAATTATGCTGGGAAATAGCTTCATTTTTAATGCTTTTATTTATATAGTGCCTGAACATTGCCTTCAAAGCACAGTAAAACTCTTAACACCAAAAATGTAAGTGTAACTTAATTAAGTGATCAGAATTGTCATTAAAGTCTAAAATATGATTTTACTGCATTTATCTAGCCACATGGATTTGCTGAGTCTATGTTATTTAAATACAAATACACATTTCTAAGAGAAATGCTTTAAGGTATTAAATAACATTCTATTTTTCCCTTTTATTTTTATTTTCTATCCTAGCTTTAAAAAATTAACTTAAAAATTAAATCAAGCTATTTGCTTTAGCTGTGGATAGAAAAATTCTCCCTACTAAATGCATATTACTTAAATGTTTGTGAATAAAGTGAAGGCTGTTTGGAAATTTTGCAATGCCAATTTACTAATTTTTCACAACAGAAAATGGCCTACGAAGTTGTCTTTGATATGTAGCCTATGTAAATAAATAAATACTACCTCCCTAAATAAATGATTGCACATTACGGGTCTAATCTTAACATTATACATTATAGAATTTATTCTGGAAACTTCTATGTTAACAGGAATTACAGAAACTTATTCTCTGCATGCATCAGAACAAGGGTAAATCTGATTCTTTTAGGACCCCTAAATAACCAACTTACATCACTGTTTCTTATGTTAGGTGAATTTAAACTGCAGTAAGCTATGTGACATATTTTTCGGGGTGAGCAATTGACAATCTAAATCAGTGGTTGACAAATCCAGCCCACTGTCTGCTTTTGTAAATAAAGATTTAATGGAACACACCCATGCACATCAGTTTTATGCATTGTTTACAGCTGTTTTCATGCTACAATAGTAGGTTTGAGTTGTTGTGACAGTGATGGTGTCACCACAAATCCTAAAATATTTGCTCTCTGAACCTTTACAGAAAAAAATTGCCATTCTTTCATCTACAAGGATAACTACATGATATGCATTTTAAATGCAATATTTTGAAAGCTCCAGGATCAGAAGTTATATGTGTCCAGTTCACAATAGGACAAATACATGGTTTGGTTTATATAATTATGTACAATGTGAATTGGGTCTTTTAGGAATGATGTTCAAAACTTCAGGAAGCCACGAACATCTATCCAAACTTCCCAGTTTTGCCTTAAGTTATTAAGTTTTATATATATATATATATATATATGTTTTGCCTTAAGTTTTATATATATATGTATATACACGCACACACATATATATATACAAACACATATTTATCCTATAGTTGAGTTGTTATATCTCAAAATAAATATTTAAACAAATAACAGTAACTATTTTATTCTAAGTTACTTTTGAAACTAACATAAAGAAATGGTAACATAAATAAATAATTGTTTAAACTAGTGCCTGAATTACTTGTTCCCTAAGCAACGTAAACAGAAGCCAGGATATCTCATTTGCTGTGAAATGTTTGTTTTTAATTTTCCTACTTGATGCTTTTTTAAAAAAATGCCTCAATGCAAACTGTTTGGTTAATGAAGAAAAACATCTGAACTCCTTTTATTATGTTTATTTGTGACAAATAACACATTCTGAATCAAAATTAACTTACCATCATTTCAAGTGCATATCGGTTACAGCTTAGCAACACCCTTTTCAGGATGTGGTCATTGTATAAAGAAGATGGACTGTTCAGTAGAATGATTTTTATTTTATCAATAAAAGTGAGACTTTGAAATGCCTTTATTATCATATTTCACTGCTTGATATTGACTATCAATTTGTATCACATCATTCAATATCAATTCCAGAAACATCCGGAGCCTCACACACCTATTAGTATCTCAGAGCCAACTAGTCGCGAACAGAGGAAGTAATACAATTGCTTTTGTTAATGTTCTCATGCGACAGGCAGAGGCAGTCAATATTAGATCTGGTAAGACACATCTAGCTCTAGGTGGAATCTGAGGGGAGATGCAGCAACAAGAAAGCAGCACCAACTGAGCATGCTCCTATTCAGGCAGAGACAGAAAGGGAGTGGACGTACTGTAGAAGCTGGCCATTACGTAGTTTTGGCAGCGATCACCAGTAAACTCATTTGGGCACCTGAGAGAAGAAACAAAAAAACAATGGTAGAAAAACAGAGAAAAAGAGAAGAGGTGAATATATGCTAGAAAGAAGCTCCTTCAGTGTCATTTGACTGAAACTTGGTGAGTTCACCCTCAGGAACTGAATCTTTGCCCTGATCATGGCTTTCAGGCTCTGGCACTTCCCCCAAATGGTTAAAAATTTGGACAGAATGCAGTTCTTAAGTTGGTATGGTGGAAAGATCCCAGCACTTTAAGTGGTTGCCTTCTTTCAAAGGGAACCCCTTAAAATGAAATCCGATGTTTTATTCATCTCAGTTTTCCATATGATGGCTTTGGTCACACACGTTGGAAGAAAATGTTTCTCGGTTGGCTTGCCTGCAATAGTTTGTCAGCATCACGGGCCATCGTGACTGGCCATTCTTGTAAATTGATGACTTAGGGACCCACTTTGAGAGACAGTTAAATAAGGTAACACTGAATGGGTTTATGCCTTGAGAGGTTAAGCCATAATTAGAACAAAATGAATCAGTTACGACTGAGCTGTAAAAGCACCAAGTGGTAGTGATTGTTGCTGTAGTTGGGGGAGAAAGCAAATTTCAGATTATTTTGACATACTTTCTTGGTTTTGGACTTTCATGGGCACATTCTCAGTACATCTTGCTCCAGTGAATCCAGGTTGGCACCTAGAGGGCAAAAATGTGGTAAGCAAAAAAAAAATGCTAAAGACACTGAGCTTTCAGACTGGCAATTTTCCTCCTATGGAATATGGAGATTCCTAAAAATGATCTGGTACCAAGCAATATAAAGAAAAGAAAAGACACAACATTTAGAAAACCATGTCCCACGAAAACTGTGGGTTACAGATTTTTGTTGTTGTTTGCTTCAGTCTTCAAATGATTGGTTAACTGAAATTTAACTAGAGTGAAGTTGAAATGTGGAATAAGAGGCAGCATGGCCCGGAGAGCTGTCAATTTCCCTTTGGCATGACCCTATTTGCCACTGATCATTGATTCTCACTATGTTGAAACACTGGTTTTGATAAGCGCTAACATGATTCCATCCCTGTCTCTTATCAATAAATGATCTTGAGCTTTTTCTTTTATATACTTATTTCAATTGTGTATTTATTTCATGGGTGTTTTATGTTACAAGTTAAGTCATTAAACAATAGAAGTCAAGTACTTTCACACTATAATGATTATTGACAAGAAAAACTACATTCCCTGTTTTTTAAAAAGACATTACAAATAAACTCTTGTTTTTAATGTTCAAAGATACTAGAAGCAGATTTTTATCAAGACAAATTTCACTTAATTGCATTATCCCAAATCAAAGACAAATACATTTTAAAATTTAGATCAGTTATTCTTATGCAGAATTACTTAATACATGTCATTTTGCATTTAAGGAAAAACTATTTTTAAAACTGTATAACATTTTTCATGTTATTCACTCACATATATTTAACTATCAAAATTCTAGAATCTTGATATAATATTGTTCTTAAGGTCATGCAATGGGGCTGTGCTTAAATATGGAAGCTCTTTATAATTACCACTTTTTTGTTGTTGCTGTTGCTGTTACTCTAATAACTAAAGCATTTTAAGTAGGATTGATTTTACCAGTATATCCTCTAATAAAAAGGGCCACTGAAAGGTTCTAGGAAGCAATATACTTACAGATAGAAAGACCATCATTTTGAATCCTCAACATCCATCATCATAATTATTATTAATAGTTCATCTATACAGCAACCATCAAGCAAAGAGCCTATCCAAGTTAGCTCTGGTAGCTCATCCCTAGTGATTTTTACACAACCCTTTTCACTACAGAGTAAATAAGAATACATACTATATTTTTGGCATCAAAGAGATATGAACAAAACTGTTCCTTGTTACCAATATAGGGGTAATTTCATTTCCCTTCAAACCAATTCACCAAGTGACTTGGTATATGTAATTCTCCTACTTTATGAAAATAGCCTGCGCGATAAAATACTAGCAGTTTCAGATTTTTTGCCCTGTGAGTATGTGTTTAAGCTTAAACAACAAACATCTTATATTGACACAGCTCTTTCAAACTCTTGGAAACACCTTCATATAAGTAAACGGATTATTTTTGTTTAGAATATTTTTGCTGCAGGGAATAGAGGAAGAGCTACCTTGAGAAACATGTCAATAAGAAGTATAAGCTTGGCCGGGCGCAGTGGCTCATGCCTGTAATCCTAGCACTTTGGGAGGCTGAGGTGGGAAGATCACAACAAGGTCAGGTGTTTGAGACCAGCCTGGCCAACATGGCGAAACCCTGTCTCTACTAAAAATATGAAAAATAGCTGGGTGTGGTGGCGGGCGCCTGTAATCCCAGCTACTCAGGAGGCTGAGGCAGGAGAATCACTTGAACCCGGGAGGCAGAGGTTGCAGTAAGCTGAGATCGTGCCATTGCACTCCAGCCTGGGAGACAAGAGCAAGACTCTGTCTCAAAAAAAAAAAAAAAAAAAAAAGAGGTTGGGTCATTTCTCAAAAAGACGCCATTTCATATGCTTCAATAAGAATGTCTTCACATTCTTACTGAACGTATATAAGAAAAAACACATGGGAACTTTTTTCATATAACTTATTTGACAAAATTATTTCTGAAGTAAATAGGGTTTTTATTTGTTTCTCTACCAGGACTATAAGTTCATATAGACAAACCCTATAATTAAAGCAGGTGTTTCCAGAATTAATGATGTATTCAGTAATTATCATTCCATCCTGCTTCTTTGAATTCTTGATAAAAGTTAAAATTCTCATACTGAGCACAAATAATCCATTTGTTTCTTACAAAAGAACATAGTATAAGATATGTGAACACGCTGTGTATGTGTAAGAGAGACACACACACACACCACACAATTGCTCAAGGCAGGAAATGCCCTTACGTTAGTAAGAATCATTAAATTAACAAATAGCTAAGGAATCACGAGTTCCTTAAGAGAAGGAAGGCATTTATAAGGAAATTGTCATTAGGCATCTTATAACCAGTTCTGTGATCAGAAGGCACAAGACAACTAGGTAAAGGGAGTCAGAAATCCTACCCAATCAATTTTCTAACTGCTATGAATTTCTAACATGATGTTTCCTAGGAAGCTAGCATAAGATGATGGCTTATCTCTATCATAAAATCATACGGAAAACTGGGTGCACTAACACCAGAACTACTTGAGGTATGAAAGTCATTTTTTGGAAATAGCAGCTACCTCTCAACCAGAACTATCCTTTTGCTAGTGTTTGTCTTCATTTGGGAGATGAATTTTCTCAGCATTGTTTCTTAGTGTTATAAGACCCTGTTATTACTTAGAACTGACAGCATCAGCATTTCCTAGGAGTGTGCTAGTGTAAACGCAGGCCACAGCCGAGAACTATGGAATAAGAAGCTTCATTTTAACAAGATCCCTAAGAGATGTGGATGTAGATTAAAGTTCAAGACGTAAGGTGCCCTGAACTGGGAAAAGGGAGGCAAACGCCCTCTCTCGGCACTGTGGTATCTTGCTGTTTGCACATGGACACGCTATTTTGCTTTACGGGGTCTCATTTTCCTCAGTGATAAAATGAAGGAATGTAATTAAGTGATTATCAAAGACCTCTTTTCCCACTAAGGTTCTGGGAAATGATACTTATTCTAACACATGGAATCACTGCTAGAAAACCCCAACATCATTTCTTCTGAATGCATTACCAGTCAGGGACGACAGAACTCAATGACTTCTAAAAATCCTTCTTGATAAAATGGATTTTTAAGACAATCGTTGAGGTAAAACAAACTGCAAGTGCCCAAGCAACTCAAGTGTTCAGCAACAAAAGGATGTAGCCTTCAGAGACATCTAAATTTGTTGCCAAATGAGATGGAAGGGAAAAGCAGAAACTGAGATAGTTTCTGCATATGCAAACTGCACACTGCATTGATTGTGTAGAGAAAGCACATGCAAATGAAAACCCAGTTGATCTATAAGCTCTGTGAAATTCTGTGGAATTACTTCTAACAGACTAGGGAGACTGGCTTCTGATACATTTCTATTATCAACATTGTATGTTAAACATTCAATCCATCACTTTCCTGGAAGATAAGAATAACAGTAAATCAAACCTGAGTTTGAAAAATAAGCTTTGGCATGAGTTTGAGCAAATTCCAAGAATTTTATGTCTGAGAACAATCTAAGGATCTGAATAACAAGTACTTGTTGTAGCTTTAAATATATATACATATGTGTGTGTGTGTGTGTGTGTATGTATATACCATTCGTTTCATTAATCAGATTAGAAGATGGAAATCAGGGTTTTTAAAAATTTTAGTATTTGCTCTTAACATGATCATGTTTGTTCTATATTTGTTATTAATGGGGTGAAAATTCACAGTTTTTTCTGAACTTAGGCATCACTCTTTCCCTGTCCTCCACCTCCCCATCACCCACTTCTATGCTCTGGGGAGAATTCTCTCCTTGCCTTTTGTATTGCACCCTATCCTGACCTCTTTCACTGCACTTATCTGTATTGTGATGATCTGTGACACACTGATCACATTCTGTCAGACAATGATCACATTCTGATCATTTTGTATCTCTAATGCCTAGCACAATGCCTGGCTCATAATAGGCTCTCACAAAATGTCCGTGAAAATGAACTTAAGATCAGACCACAGCGTCCGTATCTGATCCACAATTGTATCAAAGGAGACTTTCAGGCCAGGTGTGGTGGCTAAGACCCGTAATCCCAGCACTTTGGGAAGCCAAGGTGGGCTGATCACTTGAGGCCAGGAGTTCAGGACAAGCCTGGCCAACATGGTGAATGGCTCTATCAAAAATAAAAAAACTGGTTGGGCGTGGTGGTGGGCGCCTGTAATCCCAGCTACTTGGGAGGCTGAGGCAGGAGAATCGCTTGAACCCAGAAGGCGGAGGTTGTAGTGAGCAGAGACCACAACACTACATACCAGCCTGGGTGACAGAACGAGACTCCATCTCAAAAAAAAAAAAAAAAAAAGGAAGATTGTCATACAGTTAATTGATTTGCAAGCACAGGTCAATCTTGAACATCTGTCTGTTATTTTTATAGTTTATGATACACTCTCCTCTGTGGACTCCCAGATAATTTTTTTTTTATTTTTTGAGACGGAGTCTCGCTCTGTCACCCAGGCTGGAGTACAGTGGCAAGATCTCAGCTCATTGCAATCTCTACCTCCCAGATTCAAGCAATTCTCCTGCCTCAGTCTCCCAAGTAGCTGAGATTACAGGCATGCACCACCATGCCCAGCTAATTTTTGTATTTTCAGTAGAGACGGGGTTTTGCCATGTTGGTCAGGCTGGTCTCAAACTCCTGAACCTCAGGTGATCCACCCGCCTTGGCCTCGCAAAGTGCTGGGATTACAGGCATGAGCTGCTGTGCCTGCCCTCAAATAATTTTTACAGAAATTCCCAGTATCCTTCTCACAGTCTCCCTCCCTCCAATAAAATCCTTTAACATCATGTTTGCAATTTGGAAAAGATTCTTTGATTCTTTAAAAGTAAGTCTGTTATCTTGAATTTAAATACTATTAGTGAAATACCAGTTTACTTCAGATTCAATAAAGCAGTGCATTCTACTAACCAAACTTCTGCCCAGCACCAGTATAATAAAAACTGTGGTTAATAATAACTTCAATATACTGTTAATATCCTGATATGCTTACTATGTAATCAATCATAGATGTATGTATTTTGAAATAAACTTAATGCTTGGTGTATTTTTTATATTCCAATTGAATAAATTATTTTCCATTTTTTCTTGGTGGAGATTCTAGACGTTTTTATAGATATTCACGGACCCCAAGAAACTTCTAGTTAGGGTTGGCTAATTTTATAAACCACACATTTATGGTCAATTTATAAACCATCCTTAGACATCCTTTCTCTTCTCAGCTTCATTTTCATCAAACCCTCCCTTGATCAGGAACAAGAGGAAGAAAAAAAAATACAGCTGATATTTCCTCTCTCTCTAGTCATCATTCCACAGTGAAATATTTGGACAATTTAAAAAATACCTTGTCGAAAAATGAAAAGTCCCTATTATCTGTCTGCTTTTCCTCAATACTAGCTGTGGTATTTGAAATTATTTGATGCCTATGTTTACAAATATTAAATGATAGAAATATCAACAAATCTCTATCAAGGAATATTGGTGAGAAAGTATCAGACACCAAAGCCTTTGCTCTCTCTCTGTGTAAACTCGAGGTGGCAGTGTCTACGCCAGCTCCAACTATGCTGGTCTGTTTTCCTACAGTATCGTGTTGCAAACATTGACTTTTCTCACCTCTTAGCCAGCTCAGCATTCTGCCCAGAACTCGCCCACTCACTGGCTGAGTATCTGTGTTGTAGATTATTCTTTCCCAAAGGTATTGTTACTATTAGTCTGCATTTTTCCAAGATGAACCTCATTCTGTTATCTACCTTTAAGTGAAGTTTCTTGAGGTTTGCATATGCTTTTCTAATTTGTGTTTTAGCGTTCTTTCTAGCATCATCTGCAAAAGACATTTATTTCCCCAAGGGAATGCCTTCTTTAACATCATTAAAGAAAATATTAAATATAAAATGTTCCAGTAATGTTTCCTTCAGATCCAACCTATATCTCACCACCACTGTTCAGACAGTATATATCCTCCATTTTTTTTTTAATGACAATCTGGGGACTAGTTTCCAATCCATGAGATAAGAGGATACATAGAGTGGCCACACTAGACTCATGGGTAAATGCTGAGAAAAAAACAAAACCAAACCAAACCTAACTTGTCCTGCCTTTTCAAATGTTGTTTTTCAATGTCCAGGACATATAATCCCAATAATGAGGGTGGCGGTGTTTGTGAATTAACTTCTTGTTTGAACCTTGGTGCCCTTCCTAAATCTCTGTTTGCACAGCTTGCTCTGAAATGCTCATCTGCAGAAAGACTAAAACCCTTGCCCATGTTTACTCTACATGATGAATCCTTAAGTTGGGGGTCAAACAATTTCATTGGATGTGGGATCAATCTACATCCCATACATCTCCACGTCATTGTGACACAATGACATATCGACTGCTAATTTGTGGTTTGGTTTTCCTCTCTTGAGGAAGTTTCCCTGTCTCGTCAAACAGCTTAGGGGTTCTGAGGGGCTTTATAGCCTTATCCACTTCACCAGCCTCATTCTGTGATAAAACATCTAAATATTCACTTTTTCCTTAAATCATTCAATATAAATATTTCAAAATTGTGTATTCGTTTTCCTGTAAATTGACAATTTGTACTTGTATACATTTATGGGGTAGAAAATGATGTTATGATTTATGAATACAACGTTGAATAATTAAATCAATCTAGCTAAAATATTCATCCACTATTCACAATAGCCAAGTTATAAAATCCACTATTCACAATAGCCAAGTTATAAAAAAATCTACTATTCACAATAGCCAACTTATAAAATCAACTTAAGTGTTCACCAACAGATGAATGGATTAAGAAAATGTGGTATATATACACAATGAAATATTTTAAATTGACTCTATATACATCTGAAGAGTATGACTGCATACTCTTTTTTTATTCTTTTTTCCACAGAGCAGAGTCAGCCTCTGACTAGGTCTTTCATTGTACATTCCCTTAGCTCAATTAATATCCTTCATAGCACTTGGCAAACCTGTGATTTATAATTCAATTAATTACATGAAACATGATTGTTACTTGCAGTAGCCTACAGACTCCATCAGGCAAAGACCAGTATGGTTTTGTTCACTACTTTGTCTGTAGCATGAGCACAGAGCCTGTCTCATATGAGTTCAATAAATGTACATGGCTGCTCAACTGATTTTTATAAGTGAGGAATGAAGCTATTCAGAACACTTAGACAATGCACCTGATTTTAGGTAAAACTACACCTAAACTGAATCCTATAAAAACTAAAGAATTTTCTTCAACCCTACTTCAGTGAGTTAAAAGTCTAAATGAGTTAATAAATTCCTCATAAGCACATAGTAGGATTCTAGATATATGAGGACATGAAAGAAATAGAGGACACAGTCGTCTGAAGAGCGCACTATCTAGATCCACATGAGTCCCACCACTTGCTCTCACAAATGCTGTCTATATCTGTTAAATGTTACAATATTCAAGAACAGAGAAGTACCACAGGCAAGTGTAACACTGATTCTAAAGAAAGAACTCTTCTAGGCTGGTATTGGTGTTAGCAGCAATACTACAAATACAACAAATACTACAAATACAACAAAAGTGTGTTCTTATAGACTGGAAGTTCTAACCCAGTCCTGTTTATTTTTTCCAAATTTCTCTTTCTGCAGCCATGATGATGAGACTGCAGGACACAACTGTGAGTTTGTACCGTTGCCCCCTTGTTTAATTATATTAATTCAGCTACTAATACATATTATAAAAGTTACTATCATCAGCATCATTATGTCAGTATTTTATAAAATGTTAACCTTAGCTAGTGCCTTTGATGTCTTTGACTTTCTCTTTCCATCTTACTTAGTCCCCAGACTTCTTCTAGCCTGTAAGGAAGACTCGCTTCCCTAAACATCTGCTATGTCTATGGTGCCACTCTTCTGCTCCAGATGTTACTATGGCTCCCTGTTAGCTATTACAATACCCAAAGTCCTCTGCCTGACCTTCAGAGGTCATTAAGTGGCTCCACTGTTTAACTTAGTTCTTTTATTTTGTTCATTTGTTTGTTTTACTTCCTAGAATTAAGCTGCATGTTACCGTGTCTCAGAGAAAGAATTCCTACAACCACAATGCCTTCCTGGTATAAAGGAAAGACTCTATAAATGATGATTATATTTAAAAAGTCTTCTCTAACTTATTTCAGTCTTTTCTTTCCCTTCTTTAAATTTGTATTACCTTAATAGTCAGCATTGTACCATTTGGCATATATTCACTCATTGATTTTCTATTTTAGCAATTTCATTTTCTTTAACAGACTGAGTTCCCAGAGATCAGACACCATTCCTTATATTTTCTCTGTGTTTTAAAAAGTGCCTGGCAAATAGCTGTTCTATAAACAAATGTTAATCCATTTATGCTTAGTGTTCCATTATTGGGACGCTAAGCCTGTGGAAGATTTTAATACCCTACTGCTCAAGGTCATTGCCAAGGTCTGATTGCAAAAATTAAAAAAATTGCGACCTCAGGCATAATTTGATAAATATTTCATTTACATTATATATATTATCAAATACGTTTGATAAATATTTTATCTATCAAACTTAAAGTATTATATTTGCTGTGATTTTGTCTCCCATAGTTATGTTTTTCATACCTGTCTCTTATAATAATGTATAATATAATAAGGCCCTACATGGCTTCATAAACATTCATTATACAAAATTATAAAAGTCTATGTTTACAGATACCTTCCATCTTTCCAAATTTAGTTTGTTTTTTGTTGTTTTTGCATTATAAGGAAACTAATGATCAGAAATATTAAACGATCTGTCAAAGAAAAGTTATAAAGATAGTTGGTGGTCCCAACAAACCAAATAAAACTGCTACTCTTAAGTAAAATAAAGAATTAGAAATTAAACATGGGCCAGGCATGGTGGCTCATGCCTGTAATCCCAGCACTTTGGGAGGCCAAGGCAGGTGGATCACCTGAAGTCAGGAGTTTGAGGCCAGCCTGACCAACGTGGTGAAACCCTGTCGCTACTAAATACAAAAAATCAGCTGGGCATGGTGGTGCATGTCTGTAATCCCAGCTACTTGGGAGGCTGAAGCAGGAGAATCGCTTGAACCTGGGAGGCAGAGGTTTCAGTGAGCTGAGACTGCACCATTGCACTCCAGCCTGGGCAACAAGAGCATGAAACTCCATCTCAAAAAAAAAAAAAAAAAAAAAAAGAAATTAAACATGATAACACAGTCTGTTAAAACAGGTGTATATATTTTTCCAATGTCTACTGAGAGAATGTAATACTACCATTTACTTTTTATTATAAGGAAAAATAAATTTTGCTTCCCCAGAGTTAAAAGTACTTTAGCAGAAATGAACTCATTTAATTTCACTGACTCCCTGGGAAGAAATTTGGAGAACATATTAACTTCATGTTATAAATAAATATATTGTCCAGAGAGTTGAAGTGAAAGGACATAAGACTGTTCACCAAAATTGGTAGTTTAAAACTCTAATCCCCTCCAGATGAAGGCACATCTGTCCACTGGACAACATGTTGGACTTATAAGCACAGCCTGATATAAAATAATTTTTAGATTAAAAAAAATCACATCAACATCTTCCAAAGTAGTTCTCCACTGAAACTGTTCAGAAGAACAGATACACAAGAATAGAGAAAAGATGCAAGAGGAAATCTGGACAATTTCATGTTTGATTTCATGTGTCTTGTTTCTTTGAACCACAGGACTACATAAAGCATCAGAGGGTACAAAATGGAATGATTCTTTTCTCATCTTTTTATAATCTGGAATAGTAACTATTTTTTCCACAGAATAAATTTTAAATTACTGTAGAGAAACAAAATATAAAAGATGAGAACTACCACTGAAATTCCCACACAGTCCCCAGGAGGAGGTCCAAGCAATCCGGAAACCTCTCCTCAGAGAAGTTTTTCACTGTTAATATGTTTAATCCATTCGAAACACCTTGTTCTAAGCAGAGAGACAAAAGAGATTTGCTGTAACATCTTCTACTTCAACTCCCAAGAAGACAACAGCAGATTAGGTGACCAGAGAGACTACTTGGAAACTTCCATGCTTGTGGTGTTTCTGAGTCATGTCTTTAGTCAGGGATAAAGCTGATTTTCAATGATGTGGCTCATGCTTCAGCAATGCTTAGCTCTAGACAGATAGACCATATGGAAACTATGAACTGGCTTCATAGACAGGACCATGATGAGCCAATGCAATATTTTTATGTCTTCTGTTTCTATTCAAGTGGTCTAGTGAACAATGTATTATCATAAGACCTAGTATATTATGTCTTTGTTTAAATTCTGACTAGTGATTATTTTTAATGCTATACATATTTTACATACAGGATTTAAAAAAATAAAAACAGTTTCATGTAACGAGAAAGGTTTGAAGTATTTTGGATGTAAAATATACTCTCCAATTCTTCCCTCAAGGTTCTGGCTTGCTTTAATATGTGAATAAAGTCACCATCTCAAAGGAGGGGGAAGTTATCAAAATCATAGATGTCAAAGATTTTCTTTCTGATAAGATCCAGTAATAATTTAAATAACTTACCTAAAAGATCCTAATTACAAAAAAAAAAAAGGTGTAATTTCTTAGAACTAGAAGGCAAGAATGATCCACTAGACAATTAGCTCAGAGGATGGCTTGGGGCTTTAATAATTATCAGAAGAGTAACAAATGTTTCACTTCAAGATTTTTAAAATATAGCACGTTTTTACTACTGGATTAGGCTTAAGATTTAATGAGAAACTGTGTTGAGTGAAGAAAAATTGCAGTTGTTGGCACAATATTAAAATGAAAAAACTGAACAGCACTTACGCGATTGCATGTTTTGTATTGGACGTGGGAGGGCTAAAGAATAGCTGAAATTAATATGTGGAAAAGAACTGCCCTGGTTCCTTAGAGGTATGCAGAAACTATCATATGCACTCACTCAGCTTGTAAATCTTTGCTAAGTGATGATGAAAAATGATCATATTTCATTACTATAATTAAAATATAGTGGTCTCAGATGCTTTTCTGAAGAAGTAAAAATATGAGACATAGATAATATGGGTACACTGTTTAAAAAGGAGAAGAATTTAAGGACCTATAATTTAAATGCTTTTTCAAGGAGATTTATTAAAATACAATTACACTGTATGCTTAAGATTAGGAAAAAATAACAAGGTTTCCCCATATAACAAATGAACCTCATATTTTATAGATTACAATTCTCAGCTTCTGGCATTTTCTATTTTGATCAGAGAAAACCTTACAAACTAAAAACCTGGTTCATCCCAATTTGCTATGATAAATATGGGGATGTCTCATATTTGTGCTGTATTCACAGCAAGTCAGCAGAACTAAAGACTAAATCAGACAGATTTTTATTCTGCTGCAAGCATATAGATTTGAATATTTTAGTGACCAAGAAGTGAATCTCTAAGATTATTTTTTAAACAATAAACATAGTCGTATGAGATAATTCAGATCTAAAAGGAATGATCTTTTCTACATACTCTTTTTTTAATTTTTTATTCTATTTATTTATTTATTTTGACAGCCTTACTCTGTCACCCAGGCTGGACTGCAGTGGCATGATCTTGGCTCACTGCAGGCTCAACCTTCCGGGCTCAAGTGATCCCCCCACCTTAGCCTCCCGAATAGTTGGGACTACAGGTGCATGCCACCATGCCCGGCTAATTATTTTTCTGTATTTTTTGTAGCAATGGTGTTTTGCTACATTGTCCAGGTTGGTCTCCAACTCCTGGGCTCAAGAGATCCGTCTGCCTCGGCCTCTTAAAGTGTTGAGATTACAGGCATGCACCTGGCCTCATACTCGTATTTCATCTTGCTTTAATATTTTTTGCAAGACTTTTACCTATCATTTCACTTTGGCTTATAAAAATTATTTATTTCCGTGAAAGAGATGTTTAGTAATTGAGATTAGAATTTTACTGTTCTGGCTCTAAGTCTTTTATTCACTCTAACAGATTACATTTACTTTTACAAATTGTCTGTCTTTGATAAAATCAGCTATACAACCACCAACACTTGTCTTGGCACTGTATCTACTTTTTTCAAAGAAGAGCTTTAGAGTGCAACAAAGGAGAAGTTCTGGAAGGTGCTTGTTCAGAGCCATGAGGTCCCATCAGGCACGCTACAGACACGCCCAATCTACCACAGCTCAGAGAGCAGCAAAACATGGCCTACAAAATGGCATTTTCGATCGTTGCTTTTTTTGTCTTTAAAACATATGTTTTTTAAGATGCACTTCCTTACTTATAAATATAATTAAGATTTTATTAGAATTGGCACCTAAATATTTATATAGTATTTCTGTGATGTAAAAGGGACATGGCTTTGTTGACTATTTCTGGTGCCTTTTTCATTTTGCTAATTGCTCCTATCAGTTCAATTGCCTCTCTAACAGACTTGTTCTTCCTTGTCAAGATTTAAGTCACACGCCAATATTCTAGCAGAAAACAGTTTTTGTGACAAAATGGTTTTCCCTCCTTTAGAACAAGCATTGCTGCTTTAGAATAATGTCCCCACTGCATGTTTTCGCTGGGGACTGCTGGCAAAATTTATTAGATGTTCTACATTACATTTTTTAAGGAACGACTTTTAAAATACCTTGCTTTTGGGATATAGCTGTTGGTAAAGAGGAAAACAAAGGTGTATTTTCATCATTTCAATAAAATATTAAATATATTTTTATGCCCACATCAAATTTTAAGTCCATATACCATATGTAGACTAAATATCAACAGTAAACTTAAAATGCATGGCAAAATAAACATACTTTTTAATGAGTCCTATTAGTTTTTACTACAAGGTTTAAATATTTAATGTACTGATACTATCACTATCTTACGCTGCCTGTTGAGAGAGAATAAATTGGATACTTCTTTATTTTTATTATTTTTTTTATTTTTTGGGACGGAGTCTCGCTCTGTCACCCAGGCTGGAGTGCAGTGGTGCAATCTCGGCTCACTGCAAGCTCCACCTCCCAGGTTCACGCCATTCTCCTGCCTCAGCCTCCCGAGTAGCTGGGACTACAGGCGTGTGCCACCACGCCCAGCTAATTTTTTTTTGCATTTTTAGTAGAGACGGGGTTTCACGGTGTTAGCCAGGATGGTCTCAATCTCCTGACCTCGTGATCTGCCCGCCTCGGCCTCCCAAAGTGCTGGGATTACAGGCGTGAGCCACTGTGCCCAGGCCTAAATTGGATACTTCTTAATGGTGCATCAACTCCTTCAGGTCATTGGAAAGACAGTGCTATTCTAGATATATCTATAGACAAATGAAAGAACACTGCTGTCACCCACAGGGATGCTACATACAATGTATTTCCAAATATATGCAATTTACTTTTTTCTCTTTTTTTACTAGCAATATAAAACTAAACTCCGTTTAAAAAATAGTTATGCAACAGTAAGACAATCCCAAGTGTAATAGATATATGTCAGTAAATAATCTTCTGCCCTTCTGCTTCTCTTTGTTGTCTTATTCATTTGGCAGGTGATCACTGGGATAAGAAAGCAACATTATCTTACAGCTTAATTCATACATTGGATGTAGAAGTAGATACCAAAAGTTATAGGCCTCTGTGATATCTGCACATCTTTTCTGAATAACAACAAGAAAAACCACAAGGAAAGCAACACTATAAATAACATGGCAAAAAACAAAAACAAAAACAAAAAACACCTCACACACATTGAAAAGAGCAAAAAACAATTCTGCATATGACAGAGGAGTGATGACGAATGGTGTGAATGTTTTAAAACACTCTACATATAAAACAGCATTATTCAACATGATGCAACAAAATTGGAAAAAAAGCAACAATACATCATGAGACATAGAATCATCTGAAACAAGGAGTTATAGACATAAGCGACACACAGGATTTCTTTTCTTACTTGCACAAGTATCTCGAGGGGTTTGAAAGGTCTTTCACCATGAAGCACTCCCCTCCATTCACACAGAAAGTTTTCTCCTTCTCCGCACATTTTACAAGATGGCTTGTCCCAGTGGTGGATGTAGATGTAGCTGAAGAGGAGAGAAAGGAGAAAGGTTAACATGGACTTTTTTTCCCCCTTCTAAGCAGCCTTTAATCTTAAATTATCCTAAAAGGAAGAGTTCATATAAGGTACAGATTTCACTAAACTTGCAGACCTTACAAACAATAGCAGAGAAGTTAAGCTGTTTGTGGTCTCACTACATAGAATCAAATTATAAAAGAGAGAATTATAGAGTTAACTAATTTTACTATAACTAAATAGGAAAAGAGGCTCAACATTTTTTAACCAATATTTTATCTTCCAGGTAGTTGGAAAAGAGAAGCTCTATTGTCATTAAGCAAAATACATTTCTCAGGAAGGTTCAAGGTAATGGTATAAAGTCATGTCAGTGCAGCTCAATTTAGACATCTATTTTTAATGGCAATCAATTGATAAAATTATTTATTTTTGAAATGTTTTACATGCCTATTGACTTTACATTTTTTAGACATGATGTATATATTGAAAAAGAAACACAAGTTGGCTTATTTGTTCCAAATGAAAACATTATAGATTATTAGTCAGATACATATCAACATGCAGATTAGAAGCCATTCTCTTCTAAATTTCTTTTCTACTCTAATTTCTTAGAGGAACATGGTTGAATGTCCAAACGCCATCATACTTTTAAGGAAATGGAAAGAGTCTAATATCACTGTAAATGTAGACTAAAGCACTACAAAATATCTCCATTTAGAATGAGAGGTAGAAATAAGTTTCAAGTTTGGTTTGCAACACCTTCATATAATGAACTTAATATTCACTTGTCAAACTTCATGTTACATGAAAGTGGGTGCATGAATTATACAAAGCCAAAGCTCTCAGCCCCAGGCCACCAGGGCATTTAGTACCAGGATGTTTCTTCTCATATCATTGGGAACACCATGGGCAATACTCAGTCCCAACCAAAAATAGTCTAATATACACAATGTTTATCAATGATATTTTCAGGATGAAAAGCAAAACCAGTATATCAAGCCAGTACAGATTCTATATACTCTTTTAGGAAAAAAAAAAAAATCCATCTTTAGAGGCAATTTTTTGTCTTGTCTACTGATAACATTCTTATGAATTTTTAATTCCTTTTTAATTCCTTTCTGTCTTCCTTACTAGTTTCTACTTTATTATTTGCATGTGAGTTTCATATGACCTTGTTTACTTTTATTTGACCTGCCATGTATTACTTTTCCATTTTCTTCTGCCTTTCCTGTTCATTTCCTTCGAAAGTCTACATTTTGTTGTGACACATAACCTAATTTTGTCTTCTCCCCTGCTTGATTTTTATTCTATCTGACTGGAATACTCAATATCTGATTATTCCATTTCTGAATTACTCATGGCCTTGCTTACCTCTTATTATCCTGTCTAAGGCATGTTTTTGGACCCCTTTCATTGATCTCAGCATGGCTTTTTCGAATAACAGCAAAAGACACTCAAAACAACTTGGATTTGGAGACAGATGTGGTTCAAGTCTTGTCTCCTACTGGCTTTGAATAAGTCATTTAACCACTCAGATGCTCAATATTCCCATTAAGAAAAGAGGGGTAATGGCACTCTTACAGAATTCTGTAGAGGTTATAAATAATCTAGATAAAGGAATTGGCAAAAAAAAATTGGCATTCAATGAATAATAGCAAATATTAATGGGCAAGCAGGGAAGGCTCTTAATTTGGGTATGTATAAGAGAGAAAAATCTTGACAATGGAAATCTGGGGACTTCAAAGATGTATGCTATTTATTTATTTTTTTAAAGGAGAACTTTATTCCTAAGGATGTGCATGTTATTCTGGAATCATTACTATGGATAAATAAGAATTGGACTAATTTTTTATTACTCCAACAAAAAGCTATTTTCAAAATACATTTCAAGGCATCTTTTCCAGGCTTACAAAGCAAACAAACTAAACAAAAGGAATAAGAAAGAATGAGTAGACAGGTGATTTTTACCATCAATTATCAGTTATACTTTAACATCTTCATTAAGAAGAGGGGAAACATGATTTGCATTGTTTGGTCTGTAAAATCATGGAGTATACAACATTTCTATATATCACACAGCATATAATCTTAACATAATATCCTTTCATGTAAAAAACTACTTATTTAGGTGCTATGTATTAATATTTTCATCCACGGCAATTGCCTTTAAAAATATCAGGAAATGGGCTGGGTACGGTGGATCACGCCTGTAATCCCAGCACTTTGGGAGGCCGAGATGGGAGGATCATGAGGTCAGGAGTTTGCGACCAGCCTGACCAACATGGTGAAACCCCGTCTCTACTAAAAATACAAAAATTAGCTAAGCATGGTGGCGTGCCCCTGTAATCCCAACTACTCAGGAGGTTGAGGCAGGAGAATCGCTTGAACCTGGGAGGTGGTGGTTGCAGTGAGCCGAGATTGCACTGCCGCACTGAAGCCTGGGTGACAGAGAGAAACTCTGTCTCAAAAAAAAAAAAAAAAAAAAAAAAAAAAATTAGGAAGTTTGCCTCGAATGTTAAAGGTTTTGTGCTGAAAGGCTTTCAACTGCTGACAGAATTCCATAGGATGACAAATGGAGCAGGGTATCCTTGCTGTCCCAGATGACAGTGCTGAATGGGCCACCTGTGGTGTGCTGTCACCACGCAGTCCTGCAGAGGAACTCTGAACCTCAAGCAGACCCTAGTGGCCTTTGCATCTCTGACAGGTTGCTAAAGATTGCCCTTCATGCAACCTGAACAGCAAACACTGCATGAGCTCTCTCAGGACAAATGCCAAGGCTTTTGCTAAAAACAACAAAACCAACATTCCAACTCCCCCCCAAATGTAGACACTCCTTATAAAATGTAAACAATAAAAAAAAGCAGTGACATAAGCAACACATAGACACATCTCTTCCTTAGACTCTGATTTTATGAGATCATCAAAATAAGATTAACAAATATGTTAAAAACTAGAAACAACCCTCTTTTTAAAAGGCCTTAAAAATATAACTCTCTGAAATGATTATCCTTGTAATGCTATCCTGAAGCCCCTAGCTCTGACATAGTCATTTAAAAAATTCTTAGATCATTACCTGAAACTAGTAATGGGATATTTCATAGCAAAATGATTCTTGGAGGGAAATGAAGTAGCAAGTATCTCATACAGTTATGGATTATTATGCTTAGCACTTTTATCCTTTAGCAGTAGTGAGATCAAAAAATGATCACGAATTGTAAGGCAACAATGAGCTCCCAGGTGATGCGAAGTGTTACCTGAGTGGATGCAGCTGCTCCAAACCAGCAGCCAAGCACAGGAATAAGTTGTAATTGTCGGAAGAAGCCGGGATGGAGATGGTGATTTTCGCCAGGTTTCCTTTTGCTCTCTTTATTTGAACACAGGGCCCTGACAGTCTTACACAGGCCTATAAATTTCGCAGTGATATTTTTTCTCTGTGCCGTACACACTCAGTATTCCTAAATCAGTTTCCATTTGGTAATTCAACCAGGATGTAATGAAACCGACAAAGCCGGTCCTATGCCAATCAGAGCAAACAGCATTCTTTCTGGGGGGGCTGGGAGGAGTTGTATTAAAGGTAAACTAAAGATTTGGAAGATAAAATATGTTTCAATATATAAAAGATGATACCCCCCAATAGTTGTTCCAGGAAGGAGGTGAACTGGATCTCACTAAACCTTGTCTCCCTCTGATTTATGACTAGTTTTTCACAATTTGTAAGTTGTCTTCTAGTGACTACAAAATGAACAGCAATTAGAAACACTACAAAATCTGACATTACTTTGATGTTTGCCATTTATGTGACCACTTTATCCCAAACACACTTTCCTTGGTATGTCAACAACTACAGTATTATAAGGAAGAAAGTATAAGGTAAAGCAGAAACTTACTATTAGGTTGGTGCAAAAGTAATTACGGTTTTGGCCATTCCTTTTTAATACCAGAGAATGTATTTTGTAGTATTTTACTCTAGACCTGGTTTGCCTTGGCAAAAAAGGTCAGGACAAATGATCATTGCTGGGGAAGCTGGACAGTTCTCTGAAATAGCTGAGAACTGGGGGACTACTATTATCATTTAGAGGTTCCAAAAATCCTTTACCACACAAAAGGACTCCCTCCTTCCTTCATGCCCTTCTTCTTTCTTCCTTTCAGCCTGCCCCTCCCTCCCTTCTTTCTTTCCTTCCTTCCTTCTTTCCCTCCTTCCTTATTTCCGTCCTTCCTTCCTCACCTCCTTCCACAATTGTTTTTTTTTTTTTTTTTTTTTTTTTTTTTTGAGATGGAGTCTAGCTCTGTTGCCAGGCTGGAGTGCAGTGGCACAAACTTGGCTCACTGCAACCTCTGCCTCCCAGGTTCAAGCAATTCTCCTGCCTCAGCCTCCTGAGTAGCTAGCTGGTACTACAGCCATGCGCCACCACACCCGGCTAATTTTTTTTTTTGGCATTTTAGTAGAGAGGGGGTTTCACCATGTTGGCCAGGATGGTTTCCATCTCTTGGCCTCGTGATCCACCCACCTCAGCCTCCCAAATTGCTGGGATTACAGGCGTGAGCCACCACGCCTGACCCACAATTCTTTAGTGACTGTTTATTATGTGCAAGACATAATGATAACAACCAAAATCACTGGGGTTAAAAATTGTAAGACCATGACCAACTCTCCCTAGAAGAAACCCTTCATAGATAAAATGTACTGAAATGAACACTGAAGTTGGCTGGGAAGAATCAGGTCCAAGGCACAATTTTCCAATTATTAGCTGTGGGACTTCTCTCTATCTACCTGTCTTAGAAAATTCAGCTGCAAAAATGGATACCAAAGGGTTGTTGCCAAGTTTATTAAAACACTTTGTCAGTTGCAACACTGCACACAAATATATGATACTGTTACTATTACTAATGACATAAATATTGAGCAAACAAAAGTAAAAAAAGAAATTCTGCCCAGACTGAAATGTTACATATATAACCAAGCCTCAATAGTTGTTTCTTAGGAAATTATTCTTCTGCAAAATGTGAAAAAAGATGGCCTAATTTGGAGTGACAATCATTGAGTGATTATAAAGCATTAAGTAAATATCAATAATCTGTGTTTAACTTTATCAAAACTACTTGTCAAAAATGTATAACCACTTAATTTCCTTATAAAATAAAATTGAACAATTTAAGAGAAATTAATATCATAAATGCAGGATTATTTTACCCTTTCAAGATCTACATAATTCTTTAATATTTCTGACTGAATTTCCAAATTACAAGAATTAAACTTACTTACAATATTATGTATTATGTGTTATAACAATTTTTTAAAGTATAAAATATTTTAAAATAGTGTCATATCCATAGCATGTAGACTGTAATATAAACTTCGTTTACAACTTAAGATTTTGGAAATAATACTATTGCCCATTTTGTAAATACTCAGAATAAATAGCTGAGAAATAATCAAGTGTTCTCTGCTTGTTACTAAATATTTTCCCATGGAATCAAACAGTATTTCCTGTAGAAGGCTAGGTTTTTTTCTTCTCAAGACAGGCTAAAAAGAAAATAATACTGTAAAGGATGGCTTGCTTTTCTTGCTTGTTTTAAGTGGTGTTTTCCTTATCAGTGAAGTAGACAAAACCAGTAGACCAGGACCATTACACAAATGCAAACTGCTGATAAAAAGCCACTATTCTTCTTTGACAATTAGCAGGAATTAGCATGAGTATACAGTGTATATATACCTCACAAAGCAATCATTAGATCCTGTTTCCCTTGAATGAATTAGTCCTCACCCACAGCTTTTAGGACAATTCTTTACGAGTTACTTACAGAAAATTAAACCAAATAACTCTACGCCATTTGCTTAATAAAATATGCACATTTTAAATGTTTGAATATTAAACTGCTAGTCACTACAAAATTACAGATTTTTTTTAACCTTACCTGTAATATCTTCAATGCTTATGTGTTTAGGAATCTGCATACTTTCCTGCTCTTTGAAGTCCAGTTAAAAAATCTGAAATTATTATTCTTGCTCTGAATATAGCTCCTTTGCAATTAGGTATAATGAGCAGACTGAACTCCTACTGGGGAAAAAAATGCTTAGGTGGTTCCTGAAGATGAAGCTCTGGAGCAGAAGCTGAGCAGAAAGAGCTGTGCCACCTAATGTAGCTTCTCTAGATGCCAAGGGAATGATAGGTGGAGTCATTAGTTTTCCAAAGGAAAGGTTCAGAGCCAGGCTCAGAACCACGGAAGCCTTGTCATTCTGGGTTGGCATTTTTTCCTGAGAAGTCATTCAATCCTTTGCTGAATAGCAAATATGTACTTGAAAAAGAAAGAAAGTGGCCAGAGGAGATCAAAGAACCTGCATAGAGTTGGAGGTTCCCAGAGCCAATACAGTGACTGGAAGTAATGTATCATCTCTCTTGACCTCTCCTTGACTGAACTCTGCTCAAGAAACAAAAAGGGAAGCCAGGAGAATTCTCAGGAGACGGTTAATGGAACTAGGACTTTCTAAAGCAGAATTAGGGCATCCAACTCCATGGAGCTCAGGACTTAGCTAATACGCTGGGAGCACTTAGAGGTTTGTAGACTTCCTACAAGGTGACACTTTGTCCAAAGAACAAGTTGACACCAAGGGCCAATGGAGATTAACTGGTTTAACTGATGAACTTGGGCTTTGGCATTGTTCAAACATATATAGAATGATAGGACTATCAAGGATCTTAGCACATTTTATAGTTTATCCTATATTTTAAAGGAGGATACAGATCATCTCAAAAGAATAGTTCTGCAGTCTTTAGTAAAATACCTCTAGCTAAGAATTCACAAAAGTGCACAGGGGAAGGCTGCCCAAGGTCACATAAGTGAATTAGAAAATGCTTCCTAAGTGGGTAAGATTCCTTTCTCCCTTACAAGCTTTCTGGGCAGACCCTGATATCATTTCTTCCTATTCAGCAGAATGAAAAGTGACCTTTGGGTGTTTCTCCTGATAAAACAAAATTATAATTTTTGTTGTAACACTGATCTCATTTGTAGCTAAACAGAAAGCAGATTCTAAGTTCCCAGCAGTGGCTGAGCAAATGATTTGGTGTCATTAGACAGTGTTATCCTTAGAATAATAAGATTGCCAGGAAAGGTTATTTTTCAAACCTACAAGTTGCTGTTTTTTTTCTGTTTTTTTCAGACAGTGCATTTTACTCATGGCACAGTCTAATCATCCTAAGTCTACTATTTCTCAGGAGAAACATCTCAATGATACGAATACCATGGAGGATGTCATAGCTTTTCCAAAGAAGAAGAAAAGTATCTTCCCATAGTGGATAATTGACTAAATGGAGTTACAAGAAAGCTACATTTTCTTCTTCACAAAGCCAATAATCTTTTCTTAGCTGAGAAGCCAATTCCAGAAACACAGTTCTGCTACATATTTTCTACTAATCACTGACAGTTTTATATGAGTATAAAATTTCCATAGCCGGAGTCCACAAACTTTCAAGCTGTCCCTTGAATCTTTTTCCATCAATACTTAGATTCTAAAGGAGTACAATCCGTCTAGCCTGCAAAGCAAATATCAGCAGGCCATCTGACTGGCTTAATTTGATATATTTATAGACCTCACCAGGCTAAATGTGGAAGGCACACATTCTTTACTATACTCTGCATTTTCTACCAGGATCATTTTGGGTGGAAGAAGGTCAAGTCAATGTAGAAAATGTTAACCTGTCACTTTCCAAACTAGTCAAATCTTTCGTACCAAGCAAAACAAATCAAAACAAAGAGGACTGAACATCCAACAAGAATCAAGGATTCAGTTATTCAACAAGCTACTGAAATTACCATGTGACATTTAATGACATGTTAATTTATTCACCAACTAAAGCCCACTTAGAAATGAAAGTAGCTGAAAGGTCAAAAGAGAGAAATCATAAGGTAAATTCATTATCTTATTCAACAAATTTAAAAAAAAACATCATGGCACATCAACAAATAAAAGTCATATGGTCATTTCAATGGATACCGAATCAACCTTTGATGAAATTAGAAAGTCAATTTTTGTAAAACTATTCAGTATTATCTTTAAAAATCAAACCTGAATTTAATCAAACATCCACATACATGTAACCAACAGGGACTAAATTAAGTGGCATCAAGAGGGGATGCAATAAAACCCAGAGAACTTTACAGGACAAACAACCTGGTTTCTTTAAAAAAAAGTTAAACGTAGAAAAAAGAGACAAAGGGAGCTAGGGCTAGAATCAAACAAAGAGTGAAAAAAGGAGAAAAATTCGAATATCAACACTTAAAATAGCATTAGGAAATATAGCAACCAATCAAAATGGTTGTGAATTTTATTCAGATCCTGATTCAAACAGTTACAAATGTAGGAAATCTGATCATGGATTAGATAATGAATAATAATATTAAGGGGTTATCATTAATTTTTATGTGTGTCAAACATGTTATGGATATATTTAAAAATAGAAGAGTCCTTATCTTTTAGAGATACATACTGAAATATTTATACATTAAATGATAAGATGTCTGGGATTTGCTATAAAATAGTAAGAGAGAAGGGAAATGACTGGGATGAAGATGAAACAAAACTGATAACGGCTGAAGTGGGTGATGGCTACATGGAGATTCATTACACAATCCCTTGTATTTTCAGGTTTTTAATATGCATGTTTAAATGGATATTATATATGTACTTGTTTAAATATATGCTTATATTTATATTTAAAATTTAAAAATGCAAAAATATAATGATTTTAGGTTTTTCAAAACATGTCTTTATATTGTAAAACTAGAATGATATTCTGTATCACTAAGAATATCTGCTTTTAGCTAATAATCTAAATGATCCTTAACAGTGAAACTCTAGGGGAGATTTCCATGACTGTCAAACACAAGTAAAGGATATTGACTATCAGTGCTACTATTCAGCATTGCTCTTAAAAGTTCTAATCAATGCAGTAAGGCAGGAATAAAAAAATTATGATACAGCTTTAGAAGATGAGAAGATAAAATAATCACGATCTGGAGATGATATGGTTGGATACCAGTAGTAACCATCAAGAAAACCCAGTGAAATAATGTGATCATATTCACAGCAGCAACAGAAAATATCAATCAGTTAGGTCAGTCAGGCATGAATTTAACAATAAATGTGAGAATGGGAACTATATTAAAAGAGTCATATATTAAGAAGGTGAATTTGGCCTATGGTTGTGGGAGAAGATGGCATTCCACTAAAGGGAAAAAACAAATAAATGCGGAGGTAAGAAAGTAAATGTCATGTTTGGTGGTGAGAGGCAGCAGTTCAATTTGACTAGGACATGGATTATAAATAAGGAGGTGAAGTTAATGAAGCTATAAAATAATAATGCAACCATACCAGAGAAGCCATTGATAATCTGGTTGGAATTAATGTTTAATATGTAGGCCATGAAGAGAGTTAGGCTTTTGAGTAGGGCCATAATTAATGAAACTAATGGTCTCTCCTGCAGCCTTTGGAACGGGAAAACATGGAGATGAGACTAGTGAAGGAGGTGAGAGTAGAAGAGGGTTTGAGGATAACAGTGTTTGCAAGAAAATGATGGAAAAAGAATAGGGATCATATTCAGGAAATGACACTACTTTATATTTATATACATGAAAATTTGAGAAGAGCTAACTGCTGGAGTTCCTTTGTATTTCACACCTTGTACTACACCTCTTTCAAAGGCATTCAAACTGCTTATCACACATTTTCTCATTACTCTTCACGCAATCTAGGAAACACTCATCATGTTAACAGAGGAACTGAGGCCCATTCTCAATATGCAATACTCACCGGTAACACTAAAACGTCTGTTACAGGTAAAGCTGTCACTGTGCTTTCCTAATCTCACTAGACTACGTGTCTGTTGATATAAAGGATCCCATTAAGATGGACAATACCATAGTTGGCTTGAAATGATATGTTTTTTACAGAGATGATGAAGGCAGTGATGTGCCTATGAGTTATAGAAGCATCTTCACTCCAGGAAATGATTTCTGACAAATGTTTTAAACAATCTAAACTTTCAGTACTTTGAGGCAAGGAGCCTCCCTAAAAGTGTAGCAAAAAGTGGGTTCTAGGATTTAGACACAATCTTCCAAGTGTTTCGGGTTTGAGCCAGGCCTCTTTGAACAGTGGCTTTGCAGGTAAAAAGCCTAATATTCCTTAGAATGTCGCCCATGCAGCTTGAAACACGCCTCTCTAAAACCCCAGACTGCACGTTGCTATATACCATTTAGCCAAATCACTGCAGTTCTGTGTTTGTGTGATGGTTGTGGACATAAATAGCCAGTTTATGTTTCCACAAACACAACATTTTCCTCACTGAGGCCAGAAATTGCTGCACGGAAAGCAACGAAGCAGTAAAAGTAGGTTTGAGCATATGAATCTTGCTCCATAACACTTGGCTAATTTCAGTCCATATATTTTCCCACAACTCCCAGGAGTTCCTTGTTCCCAAGTTCACGATCAGAGTAGCAAAACATGTCTCCCTGTAATACATTGTGTTATTAAATGTATATCTGCTGTTAGGTTTCCAGTACAAATTCTATGGTAACCAAATAACACATGAAAATCTAACTTTTTAAAGTACTCTACGTCATTTCACTCATGACCAATCTGAACAGGAATAAAACCAGTTTCAAAAAAACATATAATTTTAAGTGCTTTACTTAAAGAAAACGATTTCCTTTTTTTTCTTGCCACCCCCGCCACCCAAAACCAGGACTAGCTGGTCATAATAGTTCTTGCTTCTCTAAAGAAAATGTACATTTTAGTTCAGAGAAATAGGCCATGGGGAGGTAGTATTGCCGCAAATTCTGTGTCTTTAGTGGAACAGGGCCAAAATGATAAATTAACTTTACATTATGCCTAAAGAAGCCTTCCCTAAAACCCGGTGCTTTTTCTTTTTCTTCTTTTTCCATTTTTGGGGCTCCACACTCAAACATAACAAGCACCTGTTTTTCTACTGTTGGCTTTCAACCTAATGTTGTTCAATGGGAAGGAAGCAAACAGGTGTGCACACTCCTTTTCTACATTACATAATATTAAAAAAAATTGGGGTTCTGCATCCTGCTATCATCATCTGGCTTTGCTGCTATGCACACACACACACACACACACGCACATGCACACACACACATGCACACACGCACGCACACACATCATGCAGTTGTTAGAAAAATCTAATGGAAATCATCTTGGTTATATTTAAACCAAAAAAGGGCATGTGGAAGAAGATCATAAAAAGAAAAGTAGAGCAAAGGTTAGGGCCTTATCTCAGCTTGCCTGGCTAAATTCCTGCATCGTCAGACACAAGGAATATTAAGGTCCATACATAGGACCTTAGTTATAATTCATTAGTTTTTTCCTGGTAGCACTGTATCTATCTATATATATATGGGCTAATAAAACACTTCCATCTCCTGGAGCTGTAATAACTCAGAATGACTGAGGTCTTCCCCTGCTTCTTTTAAAACATAAACCATTTTTGTAGACGCTGCAAGCATGTGTTTAATACAGATCTTTGTTCTTTCCATCCATTACTACAAAGCCACCTAAAAATCAAAGCATTGAAAACCAAATGGTAGGCTGTGTTCATTCTTCCAATTCGGTTCCTCACATTTCCATGCAGTTCCTGTAGAAGAGTCAAAGTCTTCAGTTGAGATTTGCCATTTACTCAAAAGCTTTCAAAAAGTAGAACACTTTGTAATGCAAAATATGTGTAGCAGGAATTTGCATTTCTAGTTCAGCTCAAATAGGTGTAGCCAACACCTAGTGAGGCATGTTCTAATTAAATAACCACAGAATCCAGTGACTCCCATAATGGAGAGACATATGCAGGAGCTACACTTCTGAATCCCACCAAGGGAAGAGTTCACAGATGACAGGCTGGTTGTAGTGATGCCTCTAAGCAGAAAACAAGGCCTTACCAGGAAAACAAGACCTTGCTAAGAAGAAGAAACCAGACCTCTGATCCTATTCTTTAAAAAGGCCTGGTTTAGGCCAGGCACGATGGCTCACGCCTGTAATCCCAGCACTTTGGGAGGCCAAGGCAGGCAGATCACAAGGTTCGGAGTTCAAGACCAGCCTGACCAATATTGCAAAACCCCATCTCTACTAAAAATACAAAAATTAGATGGGTGTGGTGGCACACGCCTCAGGAGGCTACTCAGCTACTCAGGAGGCTGAGGCAGGAGAATCACTTGAACCAGGGAGGCGGAGGCTGTAGTGAGCCAAGATCACATCATTGCACTCCAGCCTGGGCGACAGAGCAAGACTCTGTCTCAAAAAAAAAAAAAAAGGGCCTGATTTATTCATGGCTTTTCCCTTAAGAAATCCTTACTTCTGAAAATTTTTGAAATATGGAAAACTTTTATTGAAAGAGAGACTTTTCTTGGTTTCACACCTTTTCAGTGTGTTGGAGCTTCAATCACAGGGATGGCATTGTCTCTGAATAGAAATCAGTCACCAGTGGGAGACCTTTTCTGTCTGGAGGCTCCCATCATTTCCTCATGCCTTTCATGCCTAGCATTATACTACAGACTGATCCTTGGATTTTCCTCTAAGTCTGAAAACCTGAGGGAAGTGAGTCATTGCTCTACTGAGATCACACAAGTCCTAGGAATTCAATGGTCATAGTTCAAAGGATCTTAGTTACCAGAGACATGTTATAAAAATTCAGCAATCCAGTTGGGTGTAGTTGTTCACACGTGTAATCCCAGCACTTTCAGAGGCTGAGGCGGGTGGATGGCAAGAGCACAGGAGTTCAACCAGCCTGGGCAACATGGTGAGGCCCTGTCTTTACAACAATTTTAAAAATTAGCTGAGCATGGTGGTGCGTGCCTGTGGTCCCAGCTACTTGGGAAACTGAGGTCCAGGAGTTCAAAGTTAAAGTGAGCCATGTTTGTGCCACTACACTCCAGCCTGGGCAACAGAGCAAGATCCTGTCTTAAAAAAAAATCAGCAATCCTTCATTGGCCCTTCATGCTGCTTTGAATAAAAAGGTTATCAAAATCTGTCAAATGGCTGCATGGGTCTATCACAGCCACTGAGTCTGGCCTGAAGCTCATGCTTGGGGAGCTAACACTCTACTTGCCAAAGTACTGTGCGTGCACGCGCTTGAGCTTGTGTGTGTATGTGTGAGTGTGCATGTGTGTGTTTGTGTGTGTGTGCATGCGCATGCCTGTGATCCTGGCTTTCCTTTCCTGGAAAAATCAAAGTGCATCCTGTCACCCAGTGACTGAAAGACTGATTTTTATTCTTTAGTTTTTTGTAGAAGAAATGATCTGGAACTGAAAGATTCACTGATAAATAAGCATGTAGGTTACTTTGTGCTTAATTATATCTCATCACTCCTTTTATCAAAGCTCTTTTCCTACAGCCAGGAAAGTGTCCAATACATCTCATTATTTTTTCCCCCATTTGTGTTGTCTAGATTCTTGCTTGCTTGTTTTCAATCTAATCAATTGATAGCAGTAGTCCATCTTGAATCCAAATATAATTTTAAGCAGACTAAACATAAATTGATTCAATAGTTAACAATACTATTAAAACACATCATCATTCTTTAACATTTAAAAAATACCATTTTATTCTTTGCTCAATTTAAGCCTTTAAACACCTACTTGGCCATTTTGTTCATTTGTCTGCTTTCATTTTTTGTTTTTGTTTGTATGTTTGTTTTCAAGAACATAACACCATGTCATTTGTCAATTATTTTCACTGTAAATGACTACTACAAAGGTAAACAAGAAGAACACATGGATGAAACAGAATAGAAATGACAAATGCATTCATAGCATCAAAATATTTCTTTTCGGTTGGGTGGAGGGGCTCACACTTGTAATCCCAGCACTTTGGGAGGCCGAGGTCGGCAGATCACTTGAGGTCAGGAGTTTGAGACAAGCTTGCTCAACATGGTGAAACCCCGTCTCTACCAAAAATACAAAAATTAGCTGGGCATGGTGGTGTGTGCCTGTAATCCCAGCTACTGGGGAGGCTGAGGCAGGAGAATTGCTTGAACCCTAGAAGCAGAAGTTGCAGTGAGCTGAGATCGCACCGCTGCACTCCAGCCAGGGTGACAGAGCGAGATTCCATCTCAAAAAAAAAGAAATATATATATGTATATAATATCATATATATTTATGTTATAATTACATATAAGATTTTAATTATATAAATATATAATATATTTATAACAAATATATTATATATTTATAACATAAATATATTATTATATATATTTATTTAAAAGTTGGAACTAGGCATGGGCAAACCCACAGCAATATCTACAGAAAACAGAAAACTCTGGCCACACATTTTTTTTTTTTTAAACTTACTCATGAATTATCAGAGAGAAAGTAAACAAAAAAAAATCTGATGGTGGATGTATGGGAGAAAAGGAGAGAGCAGGCAGGAAATGGGGTTTGTGAAAATTCAACATTTCTTAGGATTTAGACAATGAATTTGAAGTTCAACTCAATTAGGAAGGTCTAGGATGCCAGTTTTGTAAGGTAAATAAGGCGTAATACCCTTCAGGGACTAAAGTTAGATAGTCACAGGATAGTTTACCGAAACCGGAAGGATTTTTGATGTACAGAGCTGGTTACTTGTCTGAGTTTGTTCCTTCTTTTTGAATGCACCACATTTCTTGGGTCAACAGGCTGGCAGCTGTTGCAATTTATGGTAAAGTCTAGCTTCAAATCCTGATGGGAAGCTGGAGTTTCCTATATAGGACTATCATAGCAGCAATATGGCAACAAAGGATCTTCGTTGATAAGTCTAATGAAATTTAATCTGTTAAGTGGGGTATGTAATCTATGTTGCTGGAATCACTTTCGAGAGACAGGTACACTAAGTATATACACAAAGGTCGAAAGAGAAAAGATGACTGAGCTAGGAATTGAGTCACGTGGTCTTTTGATTTGTGGGATCAGTGCTTCAGGCTCAACGTAACAAAGCTGACCATTTTCACAACTCTGACAGAGGAGCCATGGATGATCCAATTCTAGAGATAAGAGATATAGCTGAATTAATAAAATTTTGGCTGTATTTTACAAGCTCTGTGACTAGGCATAGTATGAGGTCAGTACAAAGTTCCAACCATGCTTAGATCAGAGAACCACTAGAAGCGGAGGTCCAGACAGAAGAAATCCATCACTACCACAGTAATGGTAGGAAATATCAGGCGTGGCACCAAAATCTTAACCATAACTACCCTAAAAACCATCAGGAGGATTTCAGAATCAAAATAACAAAAAGGACATACCCTCAGTGCTTAGCTAAACTCTATGACTTAATAAGGTAAAAATGAATATTTGAAGTTAGATGAGAAGTCATCATTTTAACGAGGTTAACATGGATCTGTACTGATTCCAAAGACAGAATTTTTATGTGTAGCACTTCTAATTCTCCAGACATAATTTACAATAAGAGACAAGTTCCTTAAAAATTATTTAAAGATTGAATAGCATGCGCAGTTGCTGCCAAATAGGAGACATACTAAATTCCCCTTCACTTTTCACTTGCTCCTTACTTACAACTCCTTTTACTAAAGGAAAAAGAAAGGTATCAAATATGTCTGCTGACCATTACATGTAAGGCTAGTAGACTCTTTACAGACAATTTCCATAAAACACAGCATCCAAAATGGAAAAATGGAAATTAACTTTGAAAGTAAGGAAAGGCATAACAAATTTAACTGGATTATCATCATTACCTGTGATAAATACTTTTCTGTCCCAGAAGCATGAAAATCGGAGAGGCTGTCTAGATTCTTTCACATGCTAGAATTGATGTCTAGAAAATACTGTTTGGGATATGGTTTCTACAAAGTGCAGAAAGACTGAACCATCAAAGTCATTATTGGCTCAAGGAGAAAAGTACAAGGAAAAGGGCCATGTACGGTAAGGGTAATAATAATAAGTTATTACCTACGCAGGCTCACTCTGCCATCCGTTATCCAACTTACTGGGTGTGAAATGTTAAAAGTAGAACTAAGATTCTGGGATTACCATTCTGTTGGTTTTCTTATTATTGAAGAAATAAATGTACTCATTCTTAATAGTCATATTTCTAGAATGAGTCATCACCAACTATATTTCAATACAGCTGAGAGTAAAACATCACAGAGCACTTTAAATGTGCTCACAACTACCATTTCTACTGGGCATGCTATTTATCATGTTCTGCTTATAGGTGATCTTCAAGGTAGGTCACGAGGGAGGAACTGGAGAAATGAGAAGCAAAGAAAGAAGACATTTTGTAATTGCAAAAATGGAGGTGTGCTCTGGATAGCATGTTTTGTTCTTAAACATCTTCTTTCCTCTTTATAGCACAACAAATTCATAGCGTAACATTACAGCATAACTTCATAGTGTAGCAATGATTTTTTACAGCAATCTTGTCTTTTGAAGTAGAAATCATTTTTACCACGACCAGTAGGTGTTTGGCATTGATAATGTTAGCTAGGCATTGTAAAGTTATGTCTTTTGCTTCTCTTCTTCCTGGTTCCCTTTTTTTGGAGAAGAAATGAATGCAGATAAAATCCAAGAGTTATCTGTATAGTAAAGCATGAAAATTCTTAGCTAAGACAAGATAAACTGACATTCATTAAATATCTACTATGTGCCAGACATTCTAGCATTTTAACACCTTTAGTCCTTAACAAGAAATAGGTGACACTTTCTCTTTCTCACAGTTGGAAAAAAAAAAAAAAAACTGAGGCTGAAAAAAGTTAAATGGCATGCCTTTGTTCTCAAAATAATAAAGAGGAATTCCAAGGCAGGTTACTTGCTAGGCCCATAATACAGCCACTGAAATATTCTGCCCGATGACGCCTCTTTCATTCCAGAACTATATATGTCACCTTGTAGCTAAAAACAAACAAGGCCATTAGAGAAGCCATATTCTTCTACATCTGAATATTTCTCTATGTTTGCAAACTACATTGTCAGAGAATGAGACTTAAAATATTACCTTTAGGTTGTGCATACTTAGCAGAAGGCAGGAGGCCACTGTGAGTCAAACTGATGCATTTTAGTTTTCATTCACGGAAAACGCTCTGTCTATATTATCTAGTTTTCTGTTGTCTGTTTCAGTTTATCTGTCTAGTTTTCTAGTTGTCTGTTGTCTTATATTTTTCATTAAGCTTTCCTAAACACTAGAAAACTAAACTGATCTTGAGTAGTTAGACTAAAGTATAATATGAAAGTTATCAGAAATTCAATGATGTGACCACATAGTGCCAGAGTGTTATAAGGGATTCTATTTAACCTTCATTCAGATTAACATCATTTTCCTTTTAAAAAATATGCCTTAAAAACAACTTAATTTTCATTTAGTAATGACTGTAGAGTTAGAAAAAAATACACACTTTACTTTTTTATGAGACCAAAGAGAAATGCATATACATAAAAATGCACATACAAATATAAATATGCTGAGTTATAAACACCATCAGGGAGTTATGGCACAAGGAACTATTCCAAATGAAATGCTAAATTTAGTTATGATGCCTGTGCAATATTTAATATTTGCATAAGATCTCTGATTGACCGCAATGCAAAATTAATACCACTGGATCCTTTAAAAGCTGATTGTACACAACAAAGAGATAGGGAGAAAAGACAAAAAAAGTATTTCTATAAGAGATGCAGATAAATTACATAAAATAAAAAAATTATCTCCAGGGACATTTGATGTTAGGTTCATTTTGTTGACTTGTAATTTTCTTTAACCTCATTTGTATATAACATGCAAATCACACACAAGAAACTCTTAAAAATAGGTCTGATGGTAGCACTCCTTAATTAAAAGTTAATTCCTGACTGTCAAGTAATTTAAATGAGCAACATTTAAATAAATGGGCTGTTCTAAATAGTTAACATAAGACATCTTTCGTTTGGTTAAATTACATATGAGGATCATCTAATCAGACTTGCTTTACATAGTTACTCCTAACAAAAATAATGCTAAAAATCAGAGTGGCAGACATATTTAAAGTGTTTACTAATGGCAAATAACTGCAAAATTGGAAGAACAATGTAAAATGTGAGTTAATTTGTGTAATTTTCATCAGTCTCTTCAGTATTCCGTTGATTTTTTACTAAATTTTATTCAATTGACTATGCCAAGCCTTATCTTCACTCATTTAAAATTTGAAATACAGGCACACATGTTCTCAGAACCTCTTGAGACAAAAAATATATATATAATAAAATATGCCAGGCTCATTGGCTCACACCTATTATCCCAGCACTTTGGGAGGCTGAGGCAGGAGGATTGCTTGAGCCTAGGAGTTCGAGACCAGCCTGGGCAACATAGTAGTACCAGACCCCATCTCTACAAATAAAACAATTTAAAAATTAGCCGGGCATGGTGGTATGGGCCCATAGTCCCAGCCACTTGAGAGGCTGAGGTGGGAGGATCATTTGAGCCCAGGAAATTGAGGCTGTAGTTCATGCCACTGTACTCCAGCTGGGGCAATGGAGTGAGGCCCTGTTTCAAAAAAATAAAAATAAAAATGAATAATAATAAAATAAAATTTGAAATATAGCAAGGTAAGTCACAGATTTGTTCAAAATAAGTTAAAGCTATGGAAGAAATCTGAGAATCACAGAATTTTCTATTTACTTCGGTGATAAGAGAGCTGAGGCACATGGCAAAAATATTATATAGTTTTTACCTACAATTACATATAAGAGGCGTGACTAAAATATTGAACTTTGTAGTTTCAAATGCACCATTAACATTTTTCACTTAGGCTTCTTTGTTTCCTAAAAATAAGCAGTCAATGTTGAGTAGAAATGTCAAGAAATCAATAAAAAGTAATTAGGAAGAGTGTTTAATGTCCTTGAGAAAAGCTTTGAAAGCAAAAAGGGAATCTTCGGCTTAGTGAACAGTCAACATTCTTACATTTTCTTCCATAATAAAAAGAAAAGGCAATAATTTAAATTACTTTTTTAATAAAAATAAAACATACAGATGTCAAGTGTCACCCTGGGCCATATTGCAGTTAATGCGGTTGCTTTCCATCATAAAAATCCACCAGTGAAAGCTGTCCCGGGGTAATGACTTCTTCCTATAGGCAGTCACTGTTATATGTACCCATGTGTGATAACAAGCAATAGAGCAGGAACCCTCATGTTAACACTCAGTTGCTTTAGCTAACCATTCCTGTCATCTTAAAAGAGAGAAACCGAGAGAAAGGAAAGAATTATTGTGTGACTTCAACATGCCAGGGCAAAAATACACATGATCTCATAGGCTCTCACAATAACCTGTAAATTCTGTATTATTTACCTGCACTTATTAGAAAGTAAACAATATCTCAGACAGATTAGGAGTTTGCCAAGACCCTACAGGTGGAAAATAGCAGAGCTGGGATTCAAACTCAGATCTCTGACCACAAAGTCCCTACTCAAATGTCTTATTCAATGGAGGTTCTCAGTATTTTGAGAGCTAAGGACTCCTTTCAGAATTTGGGGAAAGCTATCAATTTTTGTTTACATGTACAAATAAAAACCAAGCATACAATTTTGGAGTTTCATGGACCTCTTTTTCTGAAGCCAATTCAAGTTAAGAATTCTTCACATGAAGTCTAGCTCTAAATGACCTTTGACATCTTCCATAATTTAGAAAACTCAATAACATGATTCCATTAGAGATAAGACTAAAAGCTGTTTCCTTCTATGCATTATTTTATTTGCTTTGTTTCAGAGGTCTTTTTCAATAATCTGTTTAACTATTTCAGAAGCAGATATAAGAACATTTGAGAACATCATCAAAATTATTGTAGATCATCATAAGATAATATAAGTTAGGAAAGGAAAACTTAATTAGGAGTCTTTTGGATTATGTTAAGTATAATAAGGATGATTTAACTTTTAGGACTTTATTACAAATACTGCCACTATTATTTTGTTTTACAGATTATTTATGATAATAAAGGAATATTTTATTTAAAAGGTATCCCTGTAGATTAAAAAAAATACTTCATATACATATAACTTCAGAAGATGATGGGGGTATGAGGCCAGGGAGAAAGAGAGTCTCTAATTTTTTTCTTTTTATTGAGAGAACAAAGATGCTTACCAGGCTTAAATATTCTTATTTTTAAGTTTGGACTAGCATTATTTAATACAAAAGCCCAATTTTCTGAAAGAAAACTGCAGTAATTTAATTTTTTTAAGTACATTCCTTCTGAAAAAAAAAATCTCAAAATGCCACAAACCAATTAGATATATTTTTATTTATGTGTTTGCAGAGTGCACAGCTTCAAACACACCAGGGGACTGTACCTAAATCTTTTATTAATATCATATTTAATGGGAAATTCCAAGTTGACTTATTGTAACATTGAATACAGAAACCCACTCATATGATTGTAAACACCTTTGGAATGAAATATAACTGTGTCATTGCTGAATAGTTAAAGGTAACAGTTTATTTCATATTAAATTTGAAACAATCTCTGACTGATTCTTTCCTTCTCCCCTCAATTGCTCTGAAACAGTTCTGAGAAGGCATTTTGCTATAGTGACTTTTTTCCCCTCATATCTTTCTCTCAGGAGTATGACAAAAGATTTGAAAGAAAATCTAGCTTTTAAGTTTGTACAATCTTCTTATCATAGGACATTATTACCACTGATTTTAGGTCATATATTGTTACAACTACTAAGGTGTTGTTATTATTACTCATCAATGTAAACATTACAATGTATTTTTATTTTATAGAAATGGAATGGCAAGTCTGCTATATCTAATAATTTGTTACAAATTACTCTAATTATCTGAATTAAAAGCATCATTTATCAAGTGATGAATAAGACTGCAGCCCAGCACAAAATACATTTTTCTTTAAAAGGCATTGTTTTCTCTACAAATAGATTTCTTTTTACATTTTTTAGAATATTCAGATGATAATGGAATTAAAAAAATAAATAAACTGGCTTTATAATAGAATCTTGTAAACTTCTAAATAATTTGAATTATATTAACTCTGAAAATTAAATAGCATTTATCTGCAAAGAAGATTCATTTCTAAAGCTTTCTTTCTATTGAAATCCCTATTCCATAGGAGTAATTATGACTATACATTTTAACGACCAACAGAGTCAAAGTATACAAGTGTGGCTAATATTTGGTGAAATATTATTTGAGAAAATTTAAAATTCTGAAAGAAAACTACCATTCCTTTTTTATGACCTCAATCACCAGGTCTCAGGGACCATTATAAAGGAAATTTTTAAATTTGGGTATCCTCAGTGTCATAATTAGAGGCTAACGTTGGTAAGTGAAACTGTCAATCAAATATTCCTTAAAACAAATGTCATTTTATAATTCTACAGTCTTGTAAAATTACACACAAACACACACACACACACACACCTATATATACCCATGCACTTCTTAAAGTTCTTAGTTTTCAAGTTTAACTCAGAAAAAAGCTAACTGACCATCATATGGACAGCAAGCCCCTGCCAAAACTAGTCCATTTGACTTGGTCTGTAGCTTATCACAAAATCTCAGATAAATTGATAAAACTGTATGCATTCTTTCTTGTTTGCCTACTCAGCTACTTATAAGTCCCATTTATCTAGCAGTAGAAAAATAAATGAGAGAAGATATAAAGTATTCTAATATATCTATGCCTACATCTGATCTGTTTGTAAATATAATTAACATTTGAAAATCCTCCGTAAAGCTTCATCCAAAAGGGGCTTCTCCACGACAGTCACAGACCTTTGGTCTCTACTACACTGCTATCAGCTCAGATCCATTAGAGACAAAGATTTAGTTTTTGTGAAACTGCTATAGGCATCTAAACCTGAGTTTGGATAATTTTTATCAGTCCAGTTTATCTCATTTGCTAGATCATCTTTCCATAAGCAAATTCCTCTTAAGTAGATTAATATCCTTTAGATCTAGGTGTCTACCCTCCCTCTGTGTCTTAAAATATGGCCACAATTTTTAAAAAGAAATTTATAGAAATAGTCAAAGATAAAATGGGGAAGCCTTGGTAGGTTGGGCAATTCCTTGTAACTAAAGAAAGCAAAGACTTGTCGAGGACATGTAGGAAATGTTTTTCAATGGGACTCATTGCAACGGCAGGTAGGGTTTAACTTCAAACTATTCAAGATTCATCTTCCAACCTTGAAGTTCTATTATTCCAAGGATAGGATTAAACTTGATATACACCAATGATGCTGGTGATTTTGGCTAAACTCAAACATTTTCATATTTAAGATCTGATATGATTTTTACAGATCACAAAGTGCTACATCTAAGTCTTAATTTCAAGTATCCTGATTCGAATTCATCAACTAGTACCTTGTTCACTCTGGGATGGGAAATAAAGAGTAGATCAAGAGGAGATCCCCTCTCAAAGTGGAGAAACACCTAATGTCCTTCACAAATTTTCTACTTTTGTACATCTCTAAAGCAAACATTTTGCCACTTTAGCACATTTCGTCAAGGATAGCAGAGGCTACTTAAAATACATTGTCACTTGGCCGGGCGCGGTGGCTCACGCCTGTAATCTCAGCACTTTGGGAGGCCGAGGCGGGCAGATCACAAGGTCAGGAGATCAAGACCATCCTGGCTAACATGGTGAAACCCCATCTCTACTAAAAATACAAAAAATTACCCGGGTGTGGTGGCTGGAGCCTGTAGTCCCAGCTATTCGGGAGGCTGAGGCAGGAGAAAGGTGTGAACCCGGGAGGTGGAGCTTGCAGTGAGCGAGATCTCGCCACTGCACTCCAGCCTGGGCGACACAGCGAGACTCCGTCTCAAAAAAAAAAAAAAAAAATTCATTGTCACCTATCCCATGCTGATTGCTATTCCTAAAAGCTGTATTTTATTAAATATAGTTTTAAAAATTCAAGTGGCTACCAAAGAGCATTTTTATGTTCAGAATTTTATAAATATATCCAACAATAGAAACAACTCTACATTTTTTAAAGTCAAACTAATATTTTCAGATGCCATAAAAAGCACGTCAATGATCACAAATCTCGAATGACAGGCACTAATGGCATGTTTGTCCCCACAGATTACTAATTTCATTGATGAGACTTTGTATAGCTTTTATTGGCCATCAGCAGATGAATGCACCAGGACCAATAAAACCTGTCTGTAAATGATAAATATAATTTTGTTTGCACTATGACTTGAGGAACATTACATTTTAGTGATATTTTTCCAAGAAGGAATACTTAAATGTGATCCATTAATTTCATGACAGTAGTGGCAATAAAGTATGAAATAATGAGATTTATTGCACAGAAGTGCAGGCAACACTTAAGTATTTTTCTCAAATCATAAAATTCTTGAGCCTTGGGAAACCAAGGATTCTTGGGAAACCAAGAATTTGCTTTTTCATACAGATTTTTAACTATGCCTTTTGTTTGTTTATCTTACGGTTGTTCCATTATAAAATATATGATTGCTTGTTTTTTATTTGCTTATGTGATATGCAGATTAATCTTCCAGTTCATTATACAGAAGTTGTTTCACTTAGTCTTCTGCAAACTCACTTGAACAATTTAGTAAACCTTAGCCGGATACTATCACTGCTCTTCAAATGAAAATATCCAGAATATAAACTCTTAAAAAAAGGAAATGATCATTTTGAAGATTCAACTCTAAATTCACTTAATCCAGCTCAACAAATCACTAAAAATTACTCAGCAAGTGGTCACACTTTTTACTTAATATGTCCCTCCCACCTCTACGGCCTCCCCAGAGGACATTGGGAGATGGGAGATAGAAAGAAGAAATTAAGGAAACATTGCCTTTAACACACCTTGCATATATCATTCCTTGCTATGATATCTGGTAGGCAACTAGCAATTTGTTAAATTAACTCATTTCCTCTGACTCATTCTTTGTTACTGAAGGGCTACAACTCTGTTCTATGAAGAACCACTACTTTGTAAGTGCTTGTTCAGCATATTCCATTTTTGCTGATGGTATCTGAAATTAATCAGTGTGCCAATCTGAGCACACACAAAGGTATCAGAAAGGGCAGCGATGGCAAAGACCTCTTTAGCAGGAGTCACTGGGGTAGAGGTCTAGTGTTTCCCTGGTGAAGCCAATACTTTTTCAAAGATCGATTGTGTTGTAACACCACCTCAATGACAGCAATAGCTTTCAACCACAAATTTTCTTAAAATATTCTCAAATTAAAGAATAGACCATACATGTTGTGAACATTTTTATATCTAATGCTTTGTTAAATTTTCCTGTCTTAGTTCTAAACAGTTTGTATTCTAAAAGAAGCCATGTCATGGGTAAAAGTAAGAATACAACAGGTTTCTAGTCCAATGTGTTCTATCCTGTCAGCTGCTGACCAGAAGAAAGTGAATTACATTTCTTTTTTTCTTTTCTTTTCTTTTCTTTTTTTTTTGTAGACAGGGTCTCGCTCTGTCACCCAGGCTACAGTGCAGTGGCACAAACATGGCTCACTGCACTCCAGCCTGAGCGACACAGCGAGACTCCATCTCAAAAAAAAAAAAAAAACATCATTAGTGAGATATCTCTACAATATCATAGGACTAAAAAGATCAAAGCATTTCTGCAATCATTTGGGAAATCAAACAGATATGATATTTCGGAACTAATAATATTTATTACAATATTTAGAATCCAAAGGGGTCAATGTAAACCCTTTTCTGACTTATGTTGTTGGTATTCAGCCCCTAATAAATTCAGTTAAAGAATGTCGTAGTGTTTCAAGGCCAGATAATAAGACTACAGAGGTGAGGAATGCCCCTGTGGTCTTCAAATATTATTTCCTCATCCCTCCCATCCTTTGACCACAATAAACACTGTTATGAAAGAAATTCAAATATAAAAATATTTCTGTAAACAAATATAATTAAATGCCACCCTGTTAAAACTGTTGATTTATTTAAGGAAAACCAACATGAAACCCAATCAAATTTGCAATTCTAGGTTAGCCCTCATTTGCTAACTTTTATGCTTGCCTGTATTATTGTTGAAAACCCAGCCATTAGAGAGAAGGAAGAGTGAAAGACAAAAATGGGACTGTAAGACAATAAAAACAGTCTAAACAGCCTTCTCATTCACCTCATTTTCTTGACTCCTCCCTTCCTCAAGTTTTAAGAACTGACTGATAATTTTGCAAGTGAAAATTCAGGCCTGGCATGGTGGCTCACACCTGTAATCCCAGCACTTTGGGAGGCCGAGGAAGGCAGATCAGGTCAGGAATTAGAGACCAGCCTGGCCAACAGAGCGAAACCCTTCTCTACTAAAAATACAAAAGTTAACCGGGTGTGGATTGTATGTGCCTGTAATCCCAGCTACTCAGCAGGCTGAGGCAGGAGAATCGCTTGAACCCAGGAGGAGGAGGTGGTAGTTAGCCAAGACTGCACCACTGCACTCCAGCCTGGGCCACAAGGCGAGACTCCTCCTCAAAAAAGAACAATTCATAGTAATACCGACAAGAGAATCATATATTAATCCATTCTCCTTTAAAAGCCAATCTCTACCAACACAAATGCCCAAACATGGGTTGCTGTTTATTTCAGCAGATTTACTTGATTTTCATACAAGTGTGATTTTACGTATGCCTATTAGGCACATGTGAACACTGACACACGTCCCACACATAGCCTTTTAGAAGAAAACACATTTTTCCACCAGCTTTTTCACGGAAATACATGAGAGTGATGTCCTAGAGTCATTTTTTAGATGTGGGCAGTCTCCAATCAATGCCTTAAAGACAGCACTCAGGATACACTTCCCTAAAACATCCATTTCCTATCGATTTTTTTTGTTGTTATAAATGACTCGTATTCCCACAACAGGAAAAAGAATTCAAAGATTTTCCATTTTTGATATTTGGTATGTGAGTCAAGTCTCAAAGATGAGAAGTTGTTACTTTTACAAAAAGAGTCATCTGAGAAGGATACTTGATTACTAGGAAAAGGGAAAATACAATTCCTAGCACTTTGATTTATCTTGTGATGAAATCTTAAGGAAAAGTCACATTTGTGATCTCATGATCTTGGTATCCATTGTCAGTTTATGGACTTTCAAATGTACTTAGGAAAGTTTCAGTTTAAGGGGGTCCCTTATTTACCAAGGTTTCACGTTTTCTTTTTGTTCAACTAAATGAATGTCAGATAGTTAAAATACCTTAAATTGTTCATGGAATAAATCAGGGTGAAATCATAGAGATAAATTAGAAAGTGATAATTGATCTATAATCTATAATTTTCTCCATTTATTTTTGTCAAGTTAGAAAGTGAATCATCTTTTAGTTGAAAACATTCACTTTAGTTGACAGCTTGGCCTACTTCAAAATAGATTTTAATAAAGGGAGAAATCAGGAGTTTGTAAGATATGAAACCTTTTGAAAAATGCAGGCTTACTCACATTGAAGACCACAACAGTTAATATTTAAAAATCACCTTCAAATATGCTGGCCCCATGGTCTTTACGCCCCTCTATCACTGAGTTGTTATTCTTCTGGGAGAGCAATGCCAGGCTTTTTTTAATAGTGAAAACTGGGCATTTACTGGCAAGTCGTCATTTCTTGCATTCTTGTGTCTTGATTTCAACACATGGAATGAATGTCACAGTCATAACAAAATAAAATAGTTCAGATTTCTCAGAAGCAAAAGATGTCTGACTTACTAAAAAGTCCAAAATTGCAGATTTTCTAAAAAGATATTGAATCATTAGTATACTTACACAATATATATTAGAATATACATACATTCTTTGATTCTTCTTTGAAAATAGAGAAGATGAGGATAGAAGCATGAATGTTACTTCCAAAAAATCAGGGTGCTCTGAGAACATGAACAGGACCCGACTTCTGGAAAGTTCCAAAAGGCTTCTAGGGGAAGTACTACTGAGTTGAAATTTGAAGGATGATAAGTTAATTTAAGTAAGCAAAGGGCCAGCATGGTGTGGGAGGTGTGCGGATTGGGTTAAGACATGCAGAGGAGAGGCCTTGCTTGAAGACCCAGAGGCAGGAGGGGACATAGCCAGTTCCAGTAAGTGAATGCAGGTCAGTGTGACAAGGGTCTAAAGGGAAGAGGATGGGAAAGGGGAGGAAATGAAGGGAAAGGGGATGAAAAGGAATCAGGGCAAGAATATGCATTAATCTGGCACTTGCTTATCTTAAAATGTATCAGTGTGCTCACTCACATGAATTACATATACTATCTTAGCATAATACACTACATATTCCCTTTCTACTCTTATTTACATTATCAAATAGTTTATCAAGTCCTTCTATTCATAGATACAAACTTTAACTCTATTCTTTCAGCTGATGTGCAAGATTAACTCAAGATATCGACTAGTGGAGGCAAGCAAAACCAGGATTTATTGTGTTTGTAGTGAAAAGATAATACTAGTTGAATAAATTTAAAAGGATGCATATTTTTAAAGATAATTCTTATCTAAATTCTATGTATGTGTTAATAAATACACATAAGTGTCTTTACACTCAAGGAAAAGTATTTACCTGTTATTTCCTTAAGAGAATTTACCCTCGACCTGACTGGATCATTTGATTTTTTTGTTTATATCAATTGTGAGTTAAATAAAAGCATTCATTTTTGCCCTATCATTTCACTCACAGTATTGCCAAAATTATTTCACCAGTTATACATATTGAAATTTCATTATTATTTCATTAAAAGTGAAAAGAAAAACATTCTAATAAATTATATATACCAATATATATGGGGAGGCAATTGTTTTATATTCATTATTTTTTTGCTAGCTAAAGCACCAAAGACAGATACAGAGTTTTAATCAGAACATCTGCTTAAAAAATAACTTGAATAGCTGGGGAAAGGGTGGAAAGAGGAAATGGGAGGGGGTCTGCTAATGGGTATGAGGTTTGTTTTTGGAATGAGGAAAATATCCTGGAGTTAGATAGTGGTAATGAGTTGTACAACATTGTGACTTTACTAAAAACACTGAATCGTACACTTTGAAGTGTGAATCTTATAACGTGTAACTTATACTTTTAATAAAGTTGTCAATAACATTTTATAAATAATTCGAGTTATTAAATCCTAGAAAAGGAGGTATGTACATTTAAATATTTTCTTAATTTTTTCTTTGTCCTATTCACAGCCGGACCTCTACATTGCTCAATATGGATTTACACATTGACATTATAGGAACATTTGAACCATCTGTAATATTAGCATGTTTCTAGAGAAAAGATGGCTCAAGACAACAAAGGGTAAGAAATTCTAAACCAATAATCTCAAAAGCCGTACCAATCACATTTATGGGGTGACATAAAATAAGAAGTAAACAAAGAAAGCAGAAAATTTTGTTCTCCTATGTTTGAAGCCATTTTTCCATTCTTTTAAAGTCTTAATATAAAATTACATCTGCATTTGACTAAGTTCAAAGATGGTTCACACAACTGGACAACTGTCACATAATTCTACTTCATTAAACGTTCTCTATTGACTTTTCTAGGAAAGCAGATTTCATTCCCTACAACTGCATTAATCACTAACCCAGGCAAGCTGTTTAGCTAATCAGAATCTGGGTCTGACAACTGCTCTAATTTACTGATTTCCATTTTTGTGCCACTACAGCCATACCAAGCCCCTCAATCACCGTCAACTACAGAACAGGAGGAAGTAGACAAGTTTCATTTTTAATGATTACTTAATTAAAGGCAGAGTTAAAGTTGCATGGTTAGTTTTTATCCATGCAAAATTACTTATATGTACTATCAAACTAATTGGCCATGGAACAAACACACTCTCTTTTGAAGAAGTGGGAACCCAAATGCAAATTCACAAGGATGGAATCGAGAGAATGCATATTATTTATTTAAGACACCTAAGTATATGTGGCAAAATAACTTTGGGTTAGCTTTAAGGTCTTTATCCATAGAAGCATTTATAATGGCACTTGTGAATTTTTTTCCAGGAAGGTTTACACCTTATTTGTAAATGAATGAGGTGGAATATATTTTCAATAAGGAATACATTCCCTTAGTCTATCTAGGTGAAGTTCTGTCTGGAGGTAGTGGTTAGACTTAATAGCTTCTGGAAATCGCTCCTAGTCCTGAGATTTTAATATTATATGAAAAGTGAAAACCAAGTAACAGCTCTATGGGGGGTGGTTTTATTGTTTCAATTTCATGATATATTTGATCCCAAAAGAAAGACTAGAAAGCCTCCAAAATTAGCCTTGGAAGAAGAGGGTAAGCCATAGAGGATGTGAGCCATTCTTCCCCAAGCACTGGTGCTAAGGCCATCCTGAACTCATCTGAAGAAGGGGCCTTTGCTCCCTTGTACAGTTCCCCGGCTCACCTCCTCCTAGGCCTTTATTTGGTCTTTCTTCCTTCCCGTGAATGCTCACGCCTCTTTCATGAGCCTGGGCTTTCTCCCCACTGCAATAAAGACAGGTATGTCTGCTATTGAAACACCTTAATGCTGTGCTTATGTCTTAAAACGCCCTCGCTGAAATGTGGGCACATTATCAAAATCAGTCCTTGATACTAAGAAGACCCTGTCTGCCTGCATGACTCTCCTGTAATGAACTTTTCCTACAGTGGAATGACTAATACGTATTTCTTGATGTTTCTCTCCTTCTATGTTTCTTCCATTTTCCAGCTGTTCCTTGAATGCGACAGAAAAGAGGCAATTCTCTCCTTATCCTTTACTTATATGCTTACTCACTGAAAATTGCTGTTACCTTTTCATATATTTTTTTTTTTTTTGAGATGGAGTCTCGCTGTCATCAGGCTGGAGGGCATTGGTGCAATCTCGGCTCACTGCAACCTCTGCCTCCTGGGTTCAAGTGATTCTCCTGCCTCAGCCTCCCGAGTAGCTGGGACTACAGGCATGTGCCACCATGCTCAGCTAATTTTTGTATTTTTAGTAGAGATGAGATTTCACCATGTTGGCCAGGATGGTCACGATCTCTTGACCTCGTGATCTGCCTGCCTTGGCCTCCCAAAGTGCTGGGATTACAGGCGTGAACCACCATGCCTGGCCATTTTTCAGCATATTGATGTCTAACAGCTTGTCCCATATTATATTGAGGTATCAGTGATGGCACTGAAATTTGTTTTTCTAATTCTTAATAAGTCTAAGCCATAATCCAGATGCTATAAAAAGTAACAGGGCCATACTGCACTGATTTGTGAAAATCTTATCTGCTTCTGCAATTTATTTCTGTTAAGACAGTTCAATTTGAAGTGATCACCATGTCTTTTTATTGGTCTCTAATTTGCTCTGTAGTAACCAGCTCTAGCACATACATAAATAGGTTGGATATAGGCCTCTTTCTGGCTCTAAAATTAATTAGTTCTCTCTTTTAGAGAATTTTATCACTGAGTTGAAATTCCACTGCATTACACATTTATGCATTTATGCTGGAGCACCATACCAGCCCCAGGAAAGACTGTAGACACTTGAAGATGGTCCAACATTATCATATAGGCAATAAGAAAGCTCTGTCAAGCTTATAGAACAAAGAGACAAGTATTCAGCACTAAGCAATCCTCTAATTTGTTCAAGCTAAAAATGAGCAGTTAACTCTGGATATGAGTAGGAAAAATTTAATAACTGAATTGAGAGTTTCTCTAATTACCCATGCATCTCTAAGAAATATCTATTTGAAGGACTGACTGGTGATGAAAATTATAGCCATGACAAAGCTCATAGAGGTGACTAGCCCACGGCTATCTTCTCTGATGTAACCTAGGGATTCTCCAACAGAATAGCTGACTCAAGCTCAGCTCACACAATACTACTTCAATCTTTCTCAATCCACTTCTCTGAAGAACTTGTTTCTTAAGTTCTAATGTTTAATGTGACAATGAAATCTGCTCTACAGATGGAATTGAATTGCAGGCAACGTCCATCTAATCCTATAGCTTACAGGACTTTCACTCTATTAACCTATACCAAATACACAATTAAGGATAGCAGACCATCTTTAAAGATAGATTACTTTGGCCAGGCGCGGTGGCTCACGCCTGTAATCCCAGCACTTTGGGAAGTCGAGGTGGGTGGATCACCTGATGTCAAGAGTTTTGAGATCAGCCTTGGCAACAGGGTAAAACCCCGTCTCTACTAAAAACACAAAACTTAGCTGGGTGCGGTGGCGCACGCCTGTAATCCCAGCTACTTGGAGGCTGAGGCAGGAGAATTGCTTGAGCCTGGGAGGCGGAGGTTGTAGTGAGTCAAGATTGCGCCATTGCACTCCAGCCTGGGCAACAAGAGCACGACTCTGTGTCAAAAAAAAAAAAAAAAAAAAAAGATAGATTATATTGTATTTTAACCTTTTTGAAAAAGAATCACGAGGCTTTACTGCCTTCCATCTTCAATTAACTTGTGAAAAAAGTAAGAAGGGCAGGCAAAAGTGGTAAAAATTTTTGATGTTGTTTAATATTATCAATACTTCTGAAATTATAATTTCCAGGGCTCTTGAGTTCTCTCTAATGCAGAACAGCCCAGAGGTTATTGTTGCTGCAGGAGTTAAATGTGAATGAAAAAGCAAAGGCAGAAAGTGGGGAGGGCAAAGATACACAGGTTTCAATTAAAGAGTGCTGTGTTATTTTTTTCACTAAAGAAAAGGAAATGTTGATTTCTACCAGTAATATAATTTTCCCCTCTCTAAGGGAACTAGGGAACTTTGAAAGTGAAAAGGATCATAACATTATCCAACATGATCCAACTTTTGGGAAAACTTTTCTAAGACATGAGTAGTCTTTTTATTTTCTATGTATTCCTAAGAATGTTGGTTTTGATGAAGATATTTTCCTTCACATTATAGATCAGTGACATGAAGCTCTCTCTTCAAAACAAAATGGAAAACCATCTTCATTTCCACCTGGGGCTGGGGGTGAAGAGGGGAAGAGCAGACATGGAAAACTGGCAAACACTCTGGGAAGGGAGGCCAAGGCATTCTTTTGGGTCAAAATCATCTAATTTTGTGGTCGCTTTCATTGACTAGTCAGTCTGATTTTTAGCATCCAGACACTGGCTGAAAGCACTGGGCACATTCTTTTGTTTTGCCTTTGGACTGTTTAGAATTGGCTTGATTATATCATATCCTTATTTGGATAATATAGTTTGATAACAAGGGGACACATAATACCTTGCTCCCTCTGATTCTTTAAATACTCTCATTTGTAAGCACCTGATTTTTAATAGATGGCACTTAATGACATTAGCAAAAAGAAGGTCGTTCTGACCATGTGCCATTTGATGAATCTGTAGACCCACACATACCCGGCACAGTGTCCCAGCCAACATCACAGTGAACGTCAAGCAACTTCACACTGCGTGTCAAACAACGTGTGCTTTTCAGAATTCTGCTTTGTAATCCAACAGAGAACAGTATAACTAATTCTTCCTCGATTGCTCTGTGGTATCTCTGTTCTCAGTACAGAAAATGCCATTATTTTGCATTTTACTCATTTGTGTACTTTCCCATAAAACTGTGATAAGGGTACATTGCTTTTCTCAAGTTTTGTTCAGTCTTTTTCTTTTTTTCTTTTCTTTTCTTTTCTCCTTCCTTCCTTCCTCTCTCTCTCTCTCACCCTCTCTCTCTTTCTTTCCTTCTTTTTTCTGAGAGAGGGTCTCACTCTGTCACCCATGCTGGAGTGCAGTGGCACCATCATAGCTCACTGCAGCCTTGAACTCCCAGGTCCAAGCGATTCTTCTGCCTCAGCCTCCTCAGTAGCTGGGATTACAGATATGCGCCACCATCCCCAACTAATTGTTTTTTGTTGTTGTTCTTGTTGCCTAGGATGATCTCAAACTCCTGGGCTCAAGCAATCTCATTCCTCGACCTCCCAAAGTGCTGAGATTACAGGCATGAGCCACCATGCCCAGCCTGTTTAGTAATTTTCGAGTTCACAACTTTGCTGGTATATTTTAGTATCTCAAGATTGATCAGTGTGCTAAAATTTCATCCGCTCTCACCTTTCGCATCATCAGTAATTGCAGGGCACCATGCCAGGTCCCGTCAGAGTTGACTCAAAGTAAAGAGGACTGAACAAGGAGGGTCCTGAAAGCCAGAGTCCTAGCTCCCGTGGACCCTCGCTGTGGGATTTCAGGCAAATAACTTACTCTCTCTGGGCTCTACTATTCTAATCTGTAAAATGAGTACACACTAAAGCTCCTTTGATTTTACTACAAAGTCACTGAGTAGAAGCTGTCTGGGAAAATATTATCAGTGTCAAGGCTGTGTGTGAGCAAACTCTCCCTCTCTCTCACACATGTGCACACACCCACACGTTCTGCTTAATTCAAAGGACAATATCTTTTAGACATGACCTAATTTTATTTAGGCTCAGGATCTTGTCAGTGTGGGTCTTCATAGTTGTTTTATACAATTAAAATATGTGATATGAGACCAGAGCTCAGACTTTATTATTATTAGTCATGCTCAAAAGAAAAAACAAGGAACTGATCGAGCACCATGATGGGTCATGAAGAAAAAACACAATAAAGAATACTTTAAAAAATGAAGCACCTCACGAGACTAAATATTAGTAATAACACAATCTCTGAAATGTCAGAAGAGTTACATACAGAACATTCTGGAAAGGAAAACACACTTAAATTGGAACACTTATCTATGGGAAAAAAGAAACAGTCATAAGAATATTGGCAAAGTATTACGATGAACATCTGCAATCTAGGCTTTAAATTATGATAATAATTGATACTAACAAGTGTTGGATACAATTTAGGACATGCATTTTTAAAACGTGAGTTTTAACCAGATAGATTCTAGACGTGACAGGCAGAATGGAAGATTAAAGTTAGAAGACCATCTACCCTCAGTGAAAAGAATACACTAGTCTCTACCTGGTAGGATAGGTTTGATGTGTAGCAGCTATGGAAGCACAGCTGAAACCAAGCCAAAAACCTTCTCCTTTGGCTGGACAGGAAGAAATTAAAGTCCAGGGGAAGGCAGACAAGCATGAGGTATGCATCATTATGTGCACTCTTTCAAAACAGAATCAAAGAGGAAAATGCTGTGCTTCTCTTTCTCAAAATTAGAGGGTCTATAGAGCTAACTTGTCTTTTATGTACTCCTAACAAACATATGTAGGAACAAGGGAACGAAAATTGTTTGTGTTTATGGGGTCATATCTCCTTATTTCACAATGGTTCGCAAAATTTTGACTTTACTGTATCAGAGGAAGGAAATGAAAACTAATATACACATTAAAGTACATTTTCTCCAAGGGGGATCAAAATTTCATAGTTTTTTTTCAGACCAAGTATGTTCTATCTAATGATTTCTGAAATAGAGACTGGCTAAAAAGGAGGAGCCTCTGTTCTACACTCTACATGCCAGGGCCTTTTATGCCACTTTGGAAACATGAGGCTTTTTTTTTTTTTTTTGGAAATGAAAATATTCACTTAAAAAATGAGTGACCTGGCCGGGTGTGGTGGCTCACGCCTGTAATCCCAGCACTTTGGGAGGCCGAGGTGGGCGGATCACAAGGTCAGGAGATCAAGACCATCCTGGCTAACATGTGAAACCTCATCTGTACTAAAAATAGAAAAAATTAGCCAGTGTGGTGGCAGGCACCTGTAGTCCCAGCTACTTGGGAGGCTGACGCAGGAGAATGGCGTGAACCCAGAAGGCGGAGGTTGCAGTGCGCCGAGATTGTGCCACTGCACTCCAGCCTGGGTGACAGAGCGAGACTCTGTCTCAAAAGAAAAAAAAAAAAAAAAAGAGTGACCCATAGAGAAGACAAATGAGGTTGTCCTCAGAGCCACTGGCTAAAATAATAATCTTTCTGCATAATGTAGCTTTGGTATCTCTTCTAGGATTTTATGTATGTGCAAACAGCAACCCTCACTCCAGTCTCTTCCTTAGGAATAAGTGACTTCTTCGTTGTCCACAATCAATCATGTCAGCTACCGGAAAGGCATTCGGTGATGTGGCTTATTTCCAGAAGGACTATGAAAATTTGTTTGTAGTGAGAACCCTGATAAGTGTAGTAATGTGTCCTTTTCAACTACCTAACTGGACCTGCACATGTCAGGTGGCAGGACCCCTGACAGAGAAATTCCATACTTGGCCATCTCGAAGGAGTGGCGGTAGAGAAGGAAGGTAGAGAAAGAGGGTGTTTCTCCTCCTGCCCATCATGGTGCTCTAGTATCCCATGCACTCGGCAGATTTCCTTCAGAAGTGCCACACTGACTCTTACAACACTGGCCTGTGACTATTCTGTCCCTTCCAGGTGTACTCTGCTTTTGTTATTTTTCTGCTACTTAAAAGAGAAAGCTCATTTGGGCCCGAAGTAATCAAAAGGCAAATGCTGTTGTTCATTGCACACACAAATATTAATCTAACTTAATACATGGATATTTTTGTTCCATGACCCACTTTTGGAGATGGGTAAATTGTAGGGTCTAATTTTTCCAGGAAGCCTTCATTATACCATCTTTCCCTCCTTAGAGGGGACTTTGATTATCTAAGCCAGCCTTCCAGGGCCAAAGCTCAGTTGGAATCTAGGGAAGCAAAACAGTTAGATTGTGTTTGTCACAGCAATGCCAGGCAAAGACCCTACATGACAGAAAATTGTGTGCTGCTGGACAAATTGACTTTGCTAAGAGACTGAATGAAACTGACTCACTCATGATCCATTAGGCAACTGGCTGGAATCCAGCAGGCTAGAAAATAGCTACACAGAATAAATCTTTGAGTCTGTTGCCAGAGGCCAACTGTGCTAAATTCTCATGGTGAATGTATGTAATAGGTAGTTTTGACCCTGTCCTGAGAACACTTAGCACACACAAAAAAATCACTGATTGTATTTGGAAAATACTTCAAGTCATTATGCATATTAGAATTGGGCTTTGAAGGCTAATTAAGTTATGGAAATAAAGTAAGAAGAATAAGAAATAGACCTTAAAGGTTTATTGAGTTTAGATTAGAACAGTCTTATATATATGGTGGATGTTCAATAAAGGTATTTCACTACTAGCTGTGAAGATTATGATGACATGATAAAGTCAGTATCACCTTTCTTTAGGGAAAACAAGATATACACAATTCTCTTTTAATTATCAAGGCAGAAAGCAACCCAAATATTCATGTGAAAAGCTAAAAGAAGGATCCTGCTAACGTATTTCAGTAACAACTCCCTAATCAGCAGGAAAAAAATATACAAATTTAACTACTTAATCACAACAACAATTCCCATAACTTCTTTGCTGTTCTTCCTTCATTTAACTTTTACATGATCTTACAACTCAAAAAGTTACATTTTCCCAAAGTTTCAATCAGTTGAGCAAGAGTACATGAACTTTCAAAAAAATTGCTCAATGTGTCACAATAAATATCTTTATCCATTCACTAGTATATAGAAAATTTTGTGGTTGTAATTGCAATTCTCTTTTTCTCAGATCATTTTTAGATTCTGTGTTTCTTAACAGCATGACTAGTGCAATTTGAAGAAATGTGGTCCTGGAAAAATAGGTATGTTTGGGGTGGTATTATCAATAGGGGAAATGGAGCACTGCACTGGAGTGCAGAGTCAGGAAGAGAATTGGCATCTCACCTATTTTTGTTTGTTTGTTTTGTTTTTTGAGACGGAGTCTGGCACTGTTGCCCAGGCTGGAGTGCAGTGGCAGAATCTCGGCTCACTGCAACCTCCCATTCCTGGTTCAAGAGATTCTCCTGCCTCCCAAGTAGCTGGGATCACAGGCGCCCGCCACCATGTCCAGCTAATTTTTTGTATTTTCACTAGAGACAGGGTTTCACCATTTGGCCAGGCTGGTCTCGAACTCCTGACCTCATGATCTGTCCACCCTCATTCAAGATAACACTAAGTCAACACAAAGTGCTAGGTTTACAGGTGTGATCCACAGCACCCAGCCTGCATCTCACCTTTTAATGTGAGTGAAAATGAAATTTATAGATTGTCTTTTCTTGGGGGAGTTAGGATTAATAAATGGCTAACACACACACACACACACACACACACACACACACACACACACTGAGAGGGAAACAATAAAATCTCCAAGTTTCCATGTAACTAATAGAAGAGATTCCTTAGATAGCAGCCAGATACTCCTACTAAAAATATAAAATAAAATAAAATCACCTTAAATTTCTAATTCTTTCCTTTGTGATCACCAGCTCAGCCTAAGTACCAAGAGCCCTGATAAAGAGTCACTCTGCTCAAGGTTACTGTTGATATTCAAAAGAAAAAAAAAAACTATGTGTGTATCTTTATTGCTTTCTTTACATGCCCATGGAGTTTATCTTCACCAGGAGATCTACAGGTGCTGATTTTAATTCTTTGGAGTCCTGGGCTTTTATAAACTATCACTGGCTCAGAGCTTTGAAGCCTAGAGAAAATGGAGCAAGGCCTAATACTGGGTTCCGTGTCTTGCAGCTATACCACCTACTACCCTGGGAATGAATGCAGCAGGAGGTACTTAGCTGAGGCCTCCATTGTCCTTATGGCATACATCTCTGGAGGATGGTCCAGCCACGATAAATTTGCAATACAGTAGGTCTGCTCTGGCTGGAGCACAGCAGACATTTTCCTACAGTGCTGGGTGAGTGGAGGAGTCGCTGAAGCTGCCTCAGGGGTAAGGGACTTGCTGTGGGGGGCGGGGGGATAAGTAGACCATGGGACCAGTGGAATTAAGGGTTCTTGGGATCCTATAATTACTTCAAAAGGGGAAATCTGGTCTTACTGTTTTAAATACAAAATAGGATTTCATTTGGAGAAAACAGAGAGTCAAGTGCTTTAAAAACTTGAATTTCAAAAGCATTGAGATCTAAATCAGCATGGAGTAGCTGGCTCTATTGGACCCCCTCATTCAAGATAACACTAAGTCAATGATCTCAAAGTTGAAGGTATATCAAAGTGTATCAGGAAGGGCAAGGACATTCTAGAATGCTTTCCCTAAAATAGACCTGAAGTCCTAGATTGACCCCAGAACCAAAGCAGCTTCCTACTCGTTCCTCTCTTCTAAACTGGACAATGAACTAATTCATGCAATTAGGATTAGAACAGAAGCTAGCACATTTTCAGAAGCAAGAGGTAGGACTGAATCTGACTAGGACATTATCATGACATGTATGTGAAATTCCATACTTTGTCAGGGTTTCATACTCAAGCCATGAGCTATATTTTGGTTATGAAAACGATGTGAATCAGCTAGTAGGTAAATGAAATAAAAATATAGATATTTATATTTCATATGTATAAATATGTATATGTATATTACACATACATATATGTATACACATAGCATTACATTGTTACATATACATATGTGTATACATGTTACATAAAGTATATGTATATATGTAATTTGCTTCTTTGTTAATAAGTAAGCCAAAAAAGAGACCTCACTGCAAGAAGACAGAACAATTTTTTAAAAGCACAATTGCAGGTATCTCAGCTCTCCACAAGAATATAAAAGGTAAATATTGTCAGAAGAAAAGAACAGAAACAACAACAAACAGCCGTTTATTAAGTTGCCTCAATCCAAGTTTAGTTCTAGAAGCAATCTTTGTTCATTCTTTATGTTATTTTCAAATATTAAGAAAGAAAGGTAATTTTTATCATGTCACATTTATGAAGAAACAAGAGTCCATGAACTCTTCCTTTTTTTTTTTTTGATTTCTCTTATTGTTGCCACGATCCCAGTTTTATCTACAAACTGCTGAACACTGGAGTCCACACTACAAAAGCAGATATTACGAGAATCTGTGAAGCAAAAGATCTTATCATGAAACTTTTGCAAATTTTACTATTTGATCACAAAAACCTAAACTATACAAATAATAGGCTCACTTTTTCTTGGACAGCTCTACAGTTGGCTGTACGGTTGCTTTTTAGTCATATCAACCCCTTTGGGTATTCAAGATACTATCTTGCTTTTCTTGGCTGCAGCACTCCCTCTTGGAAAACATCTGGGCCACAAGGCACATGTTGTGTTTAAGATTATGGTGTGACGACCCTAGGAGGCCAACCAGAGCCTAGGCAATATAAGAACAAATGCAATTCAAAGTAATTCAACATTTCAAATGCCTAATAGATGAACCAGCAGCAAGCTGTGGTTTCAGGAGTATAATAAAATCAGGAATAGGAATTCATACAGAATCAAACTGTTCTAACAGTAAAGAAAATATACATTTATTTTTATTAATGAACAACCTAAAGCAACAATTGCTTTAATAATGTTATTTAAGTAATTGTTGAAAAAAAGTCACTGTTATTACACTGGCTCTAACTGGGGACTGGAAAAAGATTTTCTGGGAGTTTTAACTGAGGCATGAAACTCCTTGCATGTCAATATTAGGTATTCATTCATAATTCAACAAATATTTATTGTGCACGTACTGCATGAGGGGCTGGGGTTGAGCAGAGGGGAGGCAGACAGGTGAAGATGAAAAGTAATAAATGGTAATGATGATTTGATCATAAGATTTTTGACTTAAAAAGTTTACAGTGTGATAAGAAAAATTAGGCACATTCGAAGATAACCATTTTAAAAAGCTGCTTTTGACAAATCCTCGTAGCTGGGAAAAAGGGCCGTATCTGCTCCATGCTTTGAAAGATGGTTATAATGTCAATTAATGGAAACTGGTTATGGGGCACAGAAGTTTAGGTGAGTTGAGCGGCTTACGTGGGAAAAGCCATGAAAAGTATAAAGAGCACTGAAGGAACATGGATCTAAGAGCTGCATGTTTCGTACGTATGTTAGTCACTTATTCTTTCTTCCTTTTATTCTCATTAAACATATTGGTAGCCTTATGCCTTGTTTTCACATGGTTTTCCTTTCTGTATACCATCAAAACTAATTCCTATTTTCTTCTGTAAGATCTAGCTGGAACGTTAAGGGAGTTCATTTCTCCCCTTCTCTACAGTAACCACCTGATATAGTTTGGATATTTGTCCATACCCAAATCTCATGTTGAATTGTAATCCCCATTGTTGGAGGTGGGACCTGGTGGGAGGTGACTAGCTCATGGGGGTGGATTTGAACTCCTGATCTCAAGCAGTCTTCCCACCTTGGCCTCTGAAAATGCTGGGATTATAGGCATCAGCCATCATGCCTGGTCTATTTTTTAAAATAGTTTTTCATTCACACATTTTAATAAAAATGTTCAGCACGTGGATAAAGAGCTTTACTTGTACTCTTACATATCTCTGAGCTGCAGGTTGACTACAGTTATGATTATATTTGATGTAACCATTTACTCTATCTTTTACAAGAACAGCTTGTGGTTTGGACCTAGTGATGTTCTCATGATCCTCATGGAAGAGGCAACGACCATTCCTATGTGAATTCAGATCATCTCCCCAGGCAACTAGAGGGTCCCTGCCTGGGAGGAGCACGGTCTCAGCTAATGGTTCTGAGCTTCTGGCTTTCCACTGGCAATGGATCACCTCCCTAATGGTGCTTCCTCCTCACAGTGCGTTCAGACTCGGGCTCAGCTTTGCTAATTTCATATGTGGTTTCTGGTTTTCCCTTTTCTTCCCCTGACCTTTGGGATAACTTCAAGTGACTTCAGAAGATAGTGCTCTGTTGCAGTTTCTTTCAATGCACATACCCACTTCAGCCACCATCCATCCATCAGCTATCCATCCATCCATCATCTAGTCACCCACCTTCCTCCTAAAATAGTTTGTGTAAAATTCCCACAGATGATACCAGAACAACCTTGTTTGCCCCTTTATTGAGGAAGGGATAATAAGAACACATTTTATATTTCACTAATTCTTGGTAGCTTTCCTTGGCTCTTTTTCTCTGCTAATTATCTTTTCTATTCTATTAATATAGAGTGGTATGCTAAAGTGGTTGCACGTGGTTGATACAGCTTTATATAGATCAGGCTTTTTAAAAGAAATATCAACTATCCCAAAGACTCCTCAATCTGGCACCCATTCAGGAACAAGATTATGAAGAAGTTAGCATGCAAGATACCATACAGGCTCTTGCATCCAGATTCAAACACTGGGTTAATTCAAATCAGTTCCTAACTTCAATGCTAGCAGGCTACACCTCCTGTGCTTTGTGGTATCGCTGTATCATTAATACCAAATGATCTGTCTTCAAGGAGCTCCCTGAGCCTGGCCCATACATTGAGCACACTTTTCTCCACCTCCTGTGAGTCATCACTGACATTCTCAGGCACAGAACAGGTCTGTCTCACAGTCTCCGGGGCTCCCTCATCTAAACCTTGCTCAATGTACTCCATGTCTAGACAGCCTTGTCATTTGCCTTATAGAATCAGAGGGCTGGATTTAAAAGGGAGCTATCCAGATTTAAATCACCTTCCTTTAACTGTTGATATCTCTTAAATGGTAATCAGGTGTCCCACAAATAATCTTGTATCTGAGGAGGGAATTTCTTTTATACCTTCTGAGTTATTTTAAACCCAGGGCTGACACATGAAGAAGCACTTTTCTCCTCCTGTCACTACCGGCCCTGTCTCCCTGACTTCACTCATTGTGGCACAGCTCCAAAGATCTCATTTAGCTGTCATTTGAAGGAAAATATTATTTCCAGCTATCCTCACTCTTTCTTTAATGTATCAACCCTAATGGGATACAGGGAAACTTTATTTCCATTTCCTTTTCTCGTCTTTTTGTTTGATTTTCAGTTCAGGCTCATTTTCTTTTTCTAACTTTCAATATGAGTAGTGCTTATAATTTGGAATCCTAGAGTTTTTTTCTCTTTTTGCCATATATTTTGTCTTCTTATGGAAAGAAGTAGCAAAGAGTCATATTGGTAACTTGCATTTGCCACAATCAAGGAGACAGCACTAACCAGAAGTAAAAAACTAATGAGGTTTAATAACTTAGACTAGACCACAGAAAGAAATGCTTAAGGCAGCAATTGTAATGATAAAAACACAACTGTATCTTTCTTTCTTTGTGCTCTAACTTTATAATAAATCTTTTCTGGAGATAGGGTATCAAAATTATAGAGAAAGCTACGTATTCCAAAAATTAGAAACTATAAATACTCAAATATGTTTGAAAGTAGCATCAGATAGGGTCAAATTCTCATGTAGTGTGAGTCACTTTCTTCAGGTTCTCAAGCTGGAAGATTCCATTTCTGTGGGATCATTCCCTAGTGGAACTGGATTTCCTCAGATCTCCTTTCTCTCAAATCCCTGTTGGAGGAAGCCTTCTGCATGCACCACTCTGAATTTGGCTCATGTATTGACCACATTTTCCTCTACTCTTATGCGTCATCAGCTAGATGGTGTGAAGCACAAAGATTTTTAGTGTTCTTGGTAGATATTTTTTCTTATTATTATTTTAAAGTTGAAAAGAACGTTAGACACTTGAGACTAGTTGCTGACACACTATACATGAAGATTTGCTAGGAATCTATTACGTTGTTTCCATAAGCAATCCTCAATGGAAGATGAGGGAGTCAAAATCTTAGAAGTCTAGGAACAAACATCAGAATTTGCTTGTGATGGTGGTGGAGGTAGGAGTGTGGAGGGAAAAGAGTTGGGCTTTGTCTGCAAAACGTCTCCTCCAAGATTCTGACAAGTCTCCAAGGGAGGAGTTCCCTCACTTTCATTCTAGTTGACAATCACTGATTTAGACTAAGTCCCTCCAAAAGAATAAATTGAGGCCCCACCACGCTGTGACTCCCCAAATGTAATTAAACCAGTGATGGTGGCAGAGCTGAGATATGAATTCAGGCATATTGACTCTCTAGTCAAATCATTTTTCCTATAAATCCTATTTTAGTTTGTCTAGATGTAAGAATATTTAGTACTAAAGAATTTGGAGGTAGAATAATCCTCAAAAATTTAAATTTTTTTTAATAGTCACATTCCTGCGCTGATGAAAATATTCCGTATGTTGACTGAATCAAGGTCAATATCTTGCTTGTGATACTGTTCCATGGTTTTGCAGAATGTTACCATTGGGGAAAATGGACAAAGGGTACAGGGGTTCTCTCTGTATTATTTCCTACAACTATATGTATATCTAAAATTATCTCAAACTCAAAAATTATGTTCAGTTAAAAATATATTTAAATTTTCAGCTAGACTTACTCTAAACTAGGATATGTATGCGTTTTTTTTCCTGAAAATATCAGTAGTGTCAAAACTGTCAAAAATTTTATACCACCTACCTAATTACCTTTCTGCTCTTACAACTAATTTCCTAGCTATCTCACAATAAAATGTTGAAATGGACATGAGTTGTCAAAAAATCAATGCTAAGCATTGACTAAAGTTGTCTGTTCAAATTTGAGAAGTAGAAAGGTTCCCCCATAAATATTTGAGGAAACTGTCAATTTTAAAAAAAGAATGATATTATAGGACTGTTTCCTCAAATAACACCTCTTGTAGCTTTCTTAATAGTAAAAAATTTGTGAAAAAGGAAGGCAAAATAATATAAATGGAAGATGATGACACCTCAATTCCATTAAAGTGTAAATAATTTATCAACACAAAAATAACTTACCAGTACAAACGAACAGGTAAATCCCTGCTAAAATCACTTTTTTCCCTACCACTCTATTTAAAATTGGAATGCCTCTTGAGAAATAAGGAGAATCATCTTATTTTAATGACACAGGTCAAAAGCAAAAATCAAATATTTTTTCCTGTGTGTTTATCTCTTACATACAATAATTCTTTAAATGTAGGTAATGTTTAAAGAGATCTGAGTATAAGCCTGACAAAATTTTTTAAAATGGTAATGTACCTTCTGATTTGTTAACATTGCCTCTATGCCCTAAGAATTCTAGAGCTGACTATTTTTTTCTTTGAGATAAAGTCTCGCTGTATTGTTCAGGCTGGAGTGCAGTGTCATGATCTCTGCTCACTGCAACCTCCGCCTCCCGGAGTAGCTGGGATCACAGACGTGCACCAATATACCTGGCTAGTTTTTTTGTATTTATAGTAGCGGTGGGGTTTCACCATGTTGGCCAGGCTGGTTTTGAACTCCTGGCCTCAAGTGATCCACCCATCTCAGCCTCCCAGAGTGCTGGCATCACAGGCATGACCCACTGTGCCTGGCCAGATTTTCTTTTTTTTTTTTTTTTTCAAGAAGCAAATTAGAAGAGCTCAGGGTTTTGTATAACAGGAATTTAGACCAGGATCCTGGCTACAATGCATGTTGAGTCAGCAGGAGACAATGACAATATCCGAACTTAGGTAAAACATAACAGCATTTCATCAGTATAAAGGCATTACAGAAAGGTAACCAAAGAGATGGTTGGCTTAAGAGGAATCTTTTCTTCTAATCTTAAAAAGTAGGAAGGGTTGGAAGACTTCCCCTATGTAGGAAGGAGGAGAAACATTAGGATGAATTAGCATGAGGCAACCCTTCTCCTGGCAGAATTGCAGGCTCCAATAAAACATGGGGGTGGCAGAATGTGGAGTCTGAATATCCATTGTGAATGAACAAATGGGATCCTATTTTTGTCTTCATGAAAGCTACTATGCCGAAAAGTGCACTCTGTTTGGTGATTCCACCCTTTCCATCTCTTTTGTTAGAGGGAGATTGTGAAGTAGTTGATGCCAATTTGCATCTACAGTCAATTTCCGAAGACTGACACTGAATCTTTCTGCAAATGCTTTTCTTAAATTGTGTTGTTCTGCAGTGCTGAGCCTCCCTGACAGTACTATAGCCCGTGTTTCCTTGCTTTATGGCAATTTACATCAACACAAGCCCTGAATACTGTCAACTGACATAACATTCTAAAGCAAAGAATAAATAAACATGAAAATTGACTCTGTTGGCTTCTGGTCATAAATGCAGAAATGGCAAGGTTCTCATTTGTCTGCACTTAACAACAATGTGTTTCTTTATAAAGCTGATCCAAAATTTTAAAACTAATTTTAAAAAGTCAGAATTCTTGTTGTGCATAAATAATAGCTAAAGCCTTTAAGCAATAGAGGTAAACTAAAATTGCCTTCTCTAAATGGCTGTGATAGTATTTATTATTATAAAGATAAAAGGTTATATATAAAATTATACTGTAAGTATAGTTGACATTGTTATTAGGCTACATTGTTTTTGGTTCCAAAGTTTATCTAGGAATTTTCTTAAATATTTGTAAAAATAGCATGTGGTCTATAAATCAGTTTAGATAAGATGCATATTTCTTACTCTAAACTAAGTTATTATGCAGGAGAATTGCTTAAAAGACAACATAAGTTTTCTTACATAAATTTTCTATAAATTACAGATTGACAACAGTTTTCATTTCTAGAAGCCTTACCATATATTTATTATTCTAATATTTTGTACATGTAAAAATAAAAGCAGTATACACTTGGGATATAGCACCTGCGGCCTTGCCCATGACAACTGTTCGAGATATTCCAAGTGGCAAAACAGTCTATAGCTCTGTAGAATATTACATTTATCTTCTAGAAACCAGCCAATGTATTTAGAAAAATTAAAAGCAGGCATCAGAAGCAGGTATTATGCAACTAGTGGTATTACAGGGATCATTTTACTCATGACTAAGGTTTAATGAATTTACTACATATTTAAGCACCATAAAATCTCTTCTTAGTCATGACATATTGAAAACCACAAACCTGTATTGTGATCATGGGAAGACAGATGATTACAACCAAGGTGACTTTTTAATAATATGTAAATAAGGTACAGACACTTAAAACGCTGAAAATCTAAATATTAATCAATGCTGCTTAATGCACATGAATGGGTGATTCATCATAATAATAGCATAATAACTATAAAAATAGCATCATAATTTCCTAAGCTTCTAAATCACCTGATTACCTACAAAAAATAATTACACAAATTTTGATTAAGGCAAAAACTTTCCAGTCATTTTGTCACTCATAACACATTTTACCTGTAATTGATTTATTGAAAATAGAAAATGAGATCAATGAAAATAGTAACATTTATTTTTAACTGATCACAATTTTCATTAATATATATCTGGAATACGTGCCTTGCACATAGCAGGTCCTCACTGAATAGGTACTTAAAGAATGTATTACTCCATGTGCATGTTAACGTTATCTATCTCATTTTGCACTGAGATTTGGAAATAGTCAACATTTACTTCCTGGCAAGTATTTTGTGATGCCTTTAAAGTCCCTCCTATATCTGTGTAATGGACCTTAATAAATGGGTCGCCGTCTGTTTCATGTCATATACACTAAAATCATTATACATGTTTATTTGCAGACAGTTTCCTGTAAGTGTCCCAAACTTGCTAGAATTGCAGCATTTGTACAAGTGACGATATTCCAAGAGTTAATTATTATGAAACTTTGTTTACAGATATTTCCCAAGTAGCTGTAAAACTGTTTTGTTGTTTGGTTTTGTTTGGTTTAATTATTAATTCATCACTGTGTAAAAGATGCTGTTATCAATATATTCTCCATGTAGTTCTATGCTGTCTTACTATACTTTATAATATTGACAACACTTTGCTATCTTTAGTTCTCAGTTAATACATTTTAAAATGGGAGACAATACACAGGAAAAGGTGCAGAAGAAGGAGAAGGGCACAGTGAGTTAATAAAGAATAATGAATTTCTGCCTCTGAAGAATTTCTTAAGGCAGAGACACTTCATTGTACTTAAATGAAAAAGGCTCACTGATGATACAAGAAGAACACGTAAAGAACCTTTTGCTTTGTCTGACTAGGTCATGCATTTTGATTTCCTGGTCTAAACATACCAGCAGAGATTATATTTTACATTTAGTCACTTCTTTTCCACAGCAATTATCTATAAAATCTATTTTGCAGATTACCAGAAAACTTTCATCAGTATCCATAATAAGACTGACATAGTCTTCATTTGTATATCTGATTCCTACTCTCTTACTGAAAGGAGAGGGTCCTCCAAGTCACTATGTTTGGCCAGCATTATTTAATACAGAGTAATGGAAAGAGAACTGGCTTTGCAATCAGACAGATCTGATTTTCCATCTTTGGCTTCATAATTTATTAACGTATTCTTATGCTTGTTACAGAACATCTTAGATACTTGTTTCTCATCAGTAAAACAGGATGGTATCATGTATTTTATTGTATTACTTTGAAGAGTAAAAAAAAATACCTAGGTCATTCATTCATTCACTAAATATACTGGATGCTTGGGGTACAAAGATAAATAACATAATGCCTCTATCCTCCTAAAGAAGCTTATATTCTAGCAGAGGAAGACAAATAAACAAATAAGGAAGTTTAAGGGCATTATAATAAACTTCGGCACAGGTTACATTGGGAGTAAAAAGGAAGAATCAGAAAATTCTGGGTAGGGTAAGGATATCAAGAAAGATTTCAGAGAATGTTATCTTTGGCTAAGTCTTAAAAAAGTCCAGTCCTGTCATCAATAAATGGTTACCATTGCTATCATTAACATCATCATCTATATTATGTCTCTCCTTCAGCCACCTATGGCTAAATCTCCATGTTCACAGAAATCAGGTTCTCACACGGGCAAACTGGATCATGCCTCAATAAACTGGGTTTATTTAAGTTGCATACAGAATCAATTTACTATAATTAATTGTGCAGTAATCTATGTAGCCTGATCCACTCAGCACTTGCCTGGACTTTCCTGGTTTTAGCACTGAACATTCAGCATCCCAGGTACCCCTTGGTATCAGTTTTAAAACCCAAAGTTCCCTGTCCTGGGCAAACAGGGGCAATTGGTCACCCTAGATCTATATTAATGGTTAATGTGCCTTAAATTATTATTTTCCATTCCACCCACGGTGCATTCATTTTGAAAATGTGGAACTGAAGATAATTTCTAGTCAACCAGCCATCATCAGACACATTAACAATCATCTTTTACTGAGGACATGGTAATTATGTTAGACATTTACCTAATTCAACTCATTACTTTAATTCATAGTTAAAAGCAATGAAGAGTAAATCTGAAGGATTAACCAAAAAGTAAAAATGTCATAGGTTAATTTACAAAATGACATCCTCAATGTCAAAAATAATGATGTTTTATTATTTTGAAATTTATCACTTTTTCATCTTTTAAAATACTAGAAAGGAGCAAGGTAATAATGACTTTCAGGAATTGAGACACATTAGCTCGCAGGGATAAACATATTTGTAAGTGCATTAGCAATAACTTCCTTCATTCTGATCACAATGAGTATGTTTCCATGCAAGAATATCTGAACTCATTATTTTGCTTTCAGGTGAACACATAAGATCAGAAAAATAGATTGGACTTGCAATTTAGCCTTTACTAACTATATGCCAAAATTAAGCCATTTTCACTGACATGACCAGTTGACTTCTTTAAAAAGTAGGTATCAGATTATTTTGGTAAGAAATGCCTAAACACTCAAATAGATCTTGAATAGTAGTGTGGTATCTTGTAATGTAGATTAAATTTATACAACAGTGGAGGAAAGGAGTCCATTCAACTTTGTTACGTATTAGGGTAAAAAAGTGACAGCATCTTTGAGAGAGCTAAATGCTTAATTTTTTTGAGAAAGATAACTATATTATGATGCAAAGATAGTTAATGGGCCATAAAGGGAGGGTACAGACTTCTATTATCATGATTTTCAATTTGCAAAAGCTGCATTTCATTTATAACATTAAAACTACTATTTAGAAAATGAACATGTACTATATATTGTTAAGGATTTAACTACTATCCATACAGTTAAATCGCTGGCATTATGCTCTGGAATTCCAAAAAATATGATGGTTATAGGACACTTTACCTTTTATGTACAAGAATGAGCATGAAAATACTAATCAGTCATTTGTCTAGAATAGATAGCTTATTATATCTGAGTACAGATATTTCCTTTTTCCTTTTATTTTATTTTGGGGTGATGTCTTGCTATATTTTCCAGGCTGGACTCGAACTCCTGGACTCAAGCGATCCTCCCACCTCAGCCTCCTAGTGAGTAGCTGGAACTACAAGTGCACAGCACCCAGTCAGGCTACTTTTTTTTTAATGCCATTCTTTTTCTTATATTTTTCAACTTACATCCTACCCAAGCAGTTGCCAGTATGTAATGGCCAACCTTTACCCAGCTCGTCACCAATAAATTAAAACTTTTTTTGAGCTATTAAAATTACAGGAAAAAAATCTTTCATAATACATGGACTTAAAAGATAGCACATTCAGCATGGGTTACTTTTGTACTAGTCTGGGTGCTGTGCATGTGATAATCTGTCTTTCACATAAAGTAATGAAAATGGTTATCTACTTATTGTCCTTACCGGTGAAGTGGTATTAATTAATTTCACCAAAGCCCGGAAGTCCAATTTAACCTCCTTTATTCTTATGCTAATTGCTCTGAAGAAGGTGAAGCAATTGATCGAGACAGGAGCTTATTTCAAAAGCCTTGTATATAATGAGAGTGCTTCTGAGCACTCATTAAAGCTGACCATCATATAATACTAGCGATGAGCAGTTTAAAGAACCCGTAATTGGACTCAGAGTGAGAAAGTCAACACTAGTCATTTCCTACAAGTGTAATATTTTTTTGAATAGAAAAAAAAAAGTCTATGTTAGGTAGGCTAGAGGACCAAAAGCCAAAATATCTGATACTGATAGCAATCTTAGATCACAGATGACATTTACATTATTATTTGTTTCTTTGCTTCCCAAACCTGCAGCACAGTTCTCTGCCATCTCCCCACCCTGTCCTTTTTAAGTAGCTTATTTCAGATAGGTGACCTGGGACATTAGCGGAAAGAAAACAAATCCAGTGAGACTTCTATGATGGGCTGTTGTAAAATGTGAATTTATACTCTACTTGACTTGAAAATAATTTAAATGTAATTAAATCTCTAAAGGAGATTTTTTATGTCCATCATCCCAGGAAAGAGTTAATATGCATGATTCACCCATATAGGAGATAAAAATAGCATTTGTCAGTAATATAATGTGATCAAAAACCATTGTAGAAAAACCAATGAGTTTAGAGGATTTTTGTAAATAGAATCTGAATTGAAAAGATGATGTGATATAGCAGAGGACAGCAAAGGTTGTGTTTCTTAATGATAGGCCTGATTAGGTACACTTGATATAGGAAAGTGTCATTGGTGAGAAAAAAGTTTTGGTCCTTGTTAGAAATGTGCTTACTCTTGACTTTATAAGTGCGATTTGTGGGGGTATGGCAAATTGGAAGGAAAGGCTGATAAATTTTGCTTTTAGTTCTGTGGTCTGAATGGCCTGCTAGGCAAGTGGAAATTGTTTGCAGGAGTATTTTTAAAGTATCTGGGAGAAATTTTAGAAAAAATTCCAGAAAATATAAATGATTGAATAATTTTTTTCTTTTTTTTTGAGACAGGGTCTGGCTCTGTCACCCAGGCTGGAGTGCAGTGGCATGATCTCAGCTCAGTGCAACCTCGTCTCCCAGGTTCAAGTGATTCTCCTATCTCAGCCTCCCAAGTAGCTGGGACTACAGGAATGTGCCACCATGCCTGGCTAATTTTTTGTATATTTTGTAGAGACAGGATCTCCCCATGTTGCTCAGGCTGGTCTCAAACTCCTGAGCTCAAGTGATCCACCCCGCTCAGCTTCCCAAAGTGCTGGGATTACAGGCATGAGCCACTGAGCCAAGCTTAATTATATTCTTGTAAAATAAAGATTCTGAAGGAATCATAATTTAATAGTCATCTGTAGTGTACATGCTATAGAAAGATGACTAAATTGTCCAATTTCCTAAAATTATCTGACTTAATTATAGAAGAAAAGAAGTTAGGCAGTATTTGGGAAAGAGTCAACTTAAATATTTACTAATAAATTTCAAAATTATTCACCTGTTTGAAGAGGAAAATTTGATTCATGAACCTTAAACTTCAGGATTATCATAATTTTACATATTTTTCAGTCTCTCTCTATACTCTTGAGGTAAACACAAAAGCCAATCATTAAAAAAGTATTTTCTAAGAACCTAGCACATGCAAAACACTGTGGATGATGAGATGACAAAATCTTTACTTTTTATATAATGTATTCCTACATTAGAGTCAAGGAGACAATAATTAATTTAAATAATATTACTTAATATTAATTGACTTAACCATCCCCACTTGAATAGTGACATAAATCTCACACTTATACCCCATTTCTCATCACTTACTGTAAATGGAAGAAACTTAGGCAAGTTAGACAAAACTTAAATGTTGATTGTTGTTCCTCCTATCAGTACCACGTTGCAGGAACTGGGATGACTGCACTGACTACGAATACTAGACATTCCCCAGGCACCAAGGACAAGGTGAGAACAGAGAAGCTGCATAACTCAATCCATGCCTATCTGATAAAACCATAGCCAATATTGAGTAAGTGTCAGCCGTTGTTAAAGTTTACAAAATCCTATTCACATATATCATCTCATTTAACCTTCACAGCTAACCTGAGAAAAGTATATTAATTTTATAGGTGGGAAAAACATGAAAATGCTAAAATTTAAACAGATTGCCAAGGGTCACATGAGCAGTAAATGGCAGAGTTAGAACTAAAACTAGGTTAACAAACTTCTGTCATATTGAGAAATACGGAACATAATTATGAGAAAGACAACCCAAGTGGCAATAGATCTGCCACTGAAGGTGGCAGCCAGACAGCAAAATGTTGCACAACTCCACCTTTCCAAGTGTGCAAAGCCCCCCTGGGGTCATGGCCACCTGTTGTGGTCCATGATCACTGACTTATCAGGAGCAAGTCCCCAGTTAGCTTTCCTTGGCACCTTCCCCAAACCACTGAGGCCATCCCTTAGAAAAAGCGGGAGTCACTGACCTGAGTGTCACCAGACGGTATCAGTTAGGTGGCCACTAAAACATCAAAATGAGGCAGATGGACTTGGCTGTGTTGTGATACTGACCTCCATGGCAACACTCATCTGTTATGACTATTAAAATAACAATAATTGCTACTTTTACCATGATTATTATTATTGTCATGATCTCAGGCATATATCCTAAATAAGTTAGTGAAAAGTGTTGGCTAAGTATCTAAGTGTTCCTGATTCTCTCAATTTGTGGTCATTTGAATTGAGAATGGCTAGAAATTTCTGTTTACTTAGTAAATTCAAGCAAGGCCAAATAAACAAGACAAATTAACTTGAGTATTTCACATACAAAAAAGTATGTGTTTAATCAAATAATTAATAAACTAACATATTTTACCATATTTTATTGATGATTAAAAGCTGCCTTATAAATGCGTGTTTGTAATAGTTCTCTTTCTTCCTCTTCCTAACAATCCCCCTGGTCACCCATATACGTGCATACCAAGCTAGTATCACTTATCTCTATTCCCCAATCTCAAGCATTTAAAACAGTTCTGGAATATAGCTGTTGCTCAATAAAAGAATAAATATTTGTTTATCATTTCTAAGCAGAAAGGATAAAATTCAGATAGCCTAAAATTTGAATTAAATATTTTACTCTTTGAATACAGCCAAGGTGTTTTTATCTGTAGACAAGTAAACTACTCTTATTCAAATCTGAGCAACAAGTACTTTTTGGGGAAAATAATAAATAAAGTCTTAATGAAAAGTCAGATTGACAAAGTCTTGAACTAAGCCAAAGAACATCCACAAAAGTGCTTCTCTTAATTAATGTGTAAGGAGTCTAAATCAACATTTGCTTATAATTTTAAAAATATCTTTTGCAAATAACTAGATCTGTGCTGTGGAGGAAGAATGTTCTTCGTCAGTGCAAACCAAACAAGAAACAGTATGGATGCAAAATTCTCAAGAAAAAAATATACAGCTTGGTTTGGGTAGGTGACAGCAGAAACACTGGAGAGTAATTTTCACCAGAACATATATAAATGTGATCTTGCTCTTTTTATGGCCAGTAATATGAATAACACCATGAATTTGTACAGTGTCCAATTCAGTACCATGAGAGCCATTCTCTCATCATTGTATTGAACTGGTGCAAAGCATGAAATTCACCCCTAAGGTGAAACTGTCATGCTTACTTTTTTGCAGTGGTATCCCATATAATACAAAAGCCAACTACTCTCACATCCTTGCTCCATGGATATGATTGAGAAGTACCTTAGTTTAACAGCTATAGCTCTAGATTCAGAAGGAGACTTGGGCTCAACCAAAATATATCACTGTCTCCTTGTGTGATCAAGGGTGAGCCACTTCACATCTCTGAGTCCTAGTTTTACCATCTTTAAAACTCCGGAGGTGAGGGGAGCAGAGAACCATTTATACTAAATGATACCATTTGTTCTTTCCATAATTCTAAGAAATTAAATTAAATTACTACTATAGATGTAAAGTGTCTATAAACTGTGATAAATTGAAAAGCCATGCATTCAGCATTCCGTTCGGATATTTTGCCTAAGTCTTTTGGACATAAAATTCTTTGCTTTTTATATCAGCTGCTCTAAAAAGAGCATCAGAGAACATATTCAAGCACTTTCCTGTGGTCTGAATGACATTGTCCCAAGGTTTTTTTCAGTTGTCATATACGAATTTAGTGGAGAAACCTTTTAAAACAACACATTTACAATCATTGCTCTCACTCTTTGCCTATTCAGATCCTTAAATGTTGCCTAAAATTGAGCACAAATTGAAAGGAAGTCTCTGCCCAGGGTGAGGAAAGATTCAGGTGAGAAATTTCATGAGCTTTTTAGTTTGACTAATGAGCTTCAGTTATGCTTTCTTACATGAATTAAACATTACTTTTTATTTTCTGTTCATGTCTTGGACTTTGAATAATTACAATTTTGTTTCATAAAATAAAATTGGATAGCTCTGGTAACCCCTTATATGTCAAAACACGAATTCTTCAGTTAAAAAATAAAACTGCACTGTATTGATGAGACAAAGACATATATAAAATTATGTTCAGTGTTTCTAACATACCTGTACAGGGTTAGAAATAGAGGCAAATAATAGATGCTCCTATGGAAATAACTTTTGTCCTGTATATTAGGATAAAGCTGGAGTCAGACATAGGTGAAATAAATTAAAATGAGTCAAGATTACTTTATTCAATTTTCGTCATGACACAGTAAATTTTAGCCTGATAAAAGTCATGTTGTGGCATTTTTCCAGCCACATGAAGAACCTTAAATTTCTAAGTAAAAGGTTTCATGTGTACCCTACAGCAGTGGACAAGAGCATTCAGCTCAAGTGTCATTCTAGGGCAGTGTCACGTAATCTCAATTTTGAAACAGGATATTTCTAGCTGACCGCACAATTCATGGGTCTTTAGAAATGTGGGGCAATGCAAAGGATTTTCACAGTTCAAAGGCAGGCACGAATTCACTAGAGTGGATTCTTTTCCTGTAGATGCCTGACTTACTATCTCTAGATAAGAAAAGACCACATGGAAGAAACTACAAGACTTAGTAGGTTGTTGTGTGTTTTTTTAATCCATTTTCCACTGTCAAAGAGCCATAACTTAAAATTACAACTTGCTATTTAATCTTCTAACCCATCAAAAGAAAATGCTGGAAGTGGAAAGAGTGGAAGACAGTGATTTGTAAAACAACTGTATTTTAATTACTGTATTTGTTATGACTGTCATTTATTACACAAATATGATTTAATCGATTCCACTATAGATAAACAGAAAGGCTTTTGAATATGAGGTTCTATGATTCTATTTCTACACTTAGAGGTGCTTTAAGTGATAAAATGATCTATAAATTATATCATCTACCCTCTTATATGATAGTGCCATTTCTATTATTACATAATTAACTGAATTGAAACATGTATAAAGTTTTGAAAGAGATTTTACTTTCCTTCATATAATACATTATCAATTGATATTGACTAGATCAGCGGTATTTGCTCAGTTGCTAGAATCCTCCAATGGCTTTAAAATAACTCGCTTTGTGGTGTGACACCAAACCATTTGAAAGATATGTTTTTGGCTTTGGTTTGTTTTAATTATAGGCATAAACACTATGGTCAAGACTAGATGCTTATTCTTAAATACAACTCAATTTTAACTTTTCAGTGAGAATAATCTGCACATTCTTGTTTTAACAAAGAAATGATTACTTCATTGTTTGTGGCTTATAAAAAATGAAAAAAACAGAGTTCTTTATATCCACAACCTATGAAGAGTGAGAGAGATGGCATCAAGAATATTTAAGTACTTTGTCAGGTTTTTTTCTCAACATTCTCTGAGCTAAATGCCTCAGAGAACATAACAACAACAATGGCCATTATTACTATATTGTTATTGATATTATTTTAATGAGGATAACAGAAGAACAGTGCTGTAAGGTCAATATTGCAAGATTGTTTTTGATCTTAAGATGAAAGATATTAAATGAAAGAAACATTTTCTAATTAAAGAAAGCTTACCATGTCATCATCTGTGTACCTATGTAAATTAATTTTTTGGCTACAATAATATCCATTCTACAGAATATCATAACATGTAACCAATAAATCATGGACATTTGGATTTATTTACAGAGTTGTGCTGTTATAAATAGTAACATAAATGTGGATTAATCTGTCTAAACTAGAATTTGGGAGTTCCAGAGGTGCCACTATTTTTCATGTGGGAGATTCTCATAATGAAAGAATACCGAGTAGGTAGGAGAGTGATGTCAGCAATAGTGAATAAAAAATATTTAAAAATAAAAAAAGTAGAAGATGAAGGCCAGGCATGGTGGCTCACACCTGTAATCCCAGCACTTTGGGAGGCCAAGGAGGGTGGATCACAAGGTCAGGAGTTCGAGACCAGCCTGGCCAATATGGTGAAACCCCATCTCTATTAAAAAATACAAAAATTAGTGGGGCGTGGTGGCACGTGCCTGTAGTCCCAGCTACTTGGGAGGCTGAGGCAGGAGAATCGCTGGAACCCGGGAGGTGGAGGTTGCAGTGAGCCGAGATTGTGCCACTGCACTCCAGCCTGGGCGACAGAGCAAGACTGTCTCAAAAAAAAAAAAAGTAGGAGATGAAAAACACATATCGGAATAGAAGTCAGAATGGCTCTAGTTTCCAGGCAAGCAGAGGTGTAGTTAATTTAGAAAAAAATGACAAGACACCCCCATAAAGTACAATTCAGTGCCAAAAGGAGGTTTGGAAAAGTAACACAAAAATGAAGACTTTTTCTTTTCACTTAAAGTGGATATAATGATTTTCTAATCACATAAATATGTTTATGTCACATTAGTTTGCTTTTTATTGAATTTACTAACTGAATTGTTGTTTAAATGAAAGCACATTAAGCTTATTTATGGAGACATTTCAGGGGCCCATCTTAAAATACTAATGATTTAATCAATGTAATTAACATTTTATTAGTATTTATTAGTTTCTGCTTTTAGGATTTTCCTTATATTTAAAAATTCATATTTTAAGAATTAAAACAAGAAAAAGGTGGAAGAAATTGGTTGCATGTGTGTGCGTGCATACATGCTGCTTAACATTTTTTAAGCATTTTAAAATGAAAATCACCTTGTTGATTATGAAAATGTCTATATTCCACATATTCCATTTGAGATGTAATTAATGAAGGCAAGATTTCCCTTAAAGGGTAGACAAAAAATTATCCCCAGGAAACTTCTAATCCATTCCTCTCATTTGTTATGAAGGCTCTCTGATGTGAGATACCTGGAACAAAGACCTCCCTAATCAAATCAGCCTTTGCCTTTCCGGGTAAGGCCCAGCATGTCAATCCTGCTAAAAAGCAGAAGGAATCCTGAAGCAGAAGGTTGTAATATGATGAGGAGGAACAAAGGAAGAGGTGAGGAAAAGCAAAATAATCCCTGGCCTTTGTCACTGAGCTCCTTCCAACATCCATTAGTCAAAAAGCTAACCTAGAATCATTCAAGGATAATTTTTTTTTAATTTGCTAAAAAAAAAAAAAAGCATAAGAACAAACCCAAATGAATATAGTGGTCTTGAGAAAAAGAATAATAATTAAGTGGCAAAAGTTTCCTATGTGTGTTGTCTGCTAGTCTCCCATATATGCCTCAATTCCTGGGGCTAACAGAAATCTGGGTCTAGGCTGCCCTCCTCTCAATGTGAGATGTGTGATTTTATTTACTTTATTAATATTATTTTTAACTGACAAATCATAATTCTATACATTTACAGGGCACAACATGATGCTTTGTTATGTGTATACAATGTAAACTGACTCAATTGAGCTGATTATCCATCACCTTGCTTACCCATGGATGTGTGATTTTAAGCAAACCAACGAACCTCTCTGGGCCTCCACTGTCCCTTGGTTAAAACAGCTTTGGCCAGGGTTCACTCCTGTAGCAAATGCTGTCTGAGCACCCTCTGTGTATTAGGGGGTAACATATGTCAAAGTACTTAAATATTTTTAAAATGCTACCCAAACAAATTTAACTTACTAAATTCATTGATTTTTCACCATTTCTGCATATATAACATTGACGTCTTCTAATATCTTGATATGTTTCCCTGTTCCCAGAGATCCCAAGCTTTGATGGGAGGAGGTGTGAGAGTGTGTGTGTTGGTGGGAGAGTGGATAAGAACGGAATAACTCCCAAAATATCACTAATAACCCTTATAGTCAGCCATTCTCTTTGGAGCCTGTGCAGAAGGAAGAGAGGCCTGGAAAACTCAATGAAGAAGAGAAAGGCAGCCAGGGAAAAGGAAAAGTTGTGGATTCCATGTGGAAGCAAAAATTTAATGAATTTGTAACTTCCAAAACTTCCTCTCTCTCTTTTTCCCTCAAACTGGAATGCGATTTGTCCTAAAAACCCTTTCACCTCAAACCCTAAATACATCTGCACTTAATCAAAGAGCCAAAGCAGCTCAAGTTATCCTGAAGTCCTGTAGCATAACAGGTTTAGCCAAGGAGAAGAGAAGGAGTTTCAAGAATATGTTTTAATTAAAAGTGAAAACCCCTAAAAATCAAGAGAAGTACTTTTTAGCAATAACAAATCAAACGTAAAAATTCCAGGTGTTTGGACATTTAATGACATAAAAATGCACATGATGTTAAATTTTAAATGGCAAGATACGAAATTGAATGTTCATCTAGACATCAGTTTGGTAAACACACATAATTCCCTGAGATAGAAATGGGATACAACAGAATGTAGTGTATTGTGTCATTTTCCTTTCTTTTGTAATTTTCACTAGTCCAATGTTCTTTAATAAATACAAGAATAACAAAAATAAGAAAGACTATTTCCAAATGATGGGCTTAGGGTCCAGTCTGGCTAGGAAACTCACAATTCAATGTTTTAGCATATACCATCAGGCAAAACTATCAATTTTGAAAGCCCCAACTAAATAAGACCAACCCTAATCACTTCCTCAAAGTAATGAAATATTTTTTAACCAAATCTCAGATGAACTGTCTTGTTTCAAAGAAATCCACCAGAAATCACTCTATTAACTTAAATGTCAGCGCACAACAGAGAAAAGTTGCTGAACTCCAAACGCCAGGCTCCAATCTTACTTTACTTATCTCCTTCTTTCTAGACACGGTTAGCCATTGGGTTTTATACATGCTGAACAATTCAAAGTACATGTAGCTTTCGGCACTCTTGGTTATTTCCTTTTTCTGAGGTCCACATTAAAAGTTCTAGAACATGGAATTTACTAAGCTATAGAAATTTTTGGTTACTTCTTTTGGGCTCCAGGGTTCAAGTGGACCTCAGCAAAAACGAAAACCCTAAATGTTTGCCAAAGATTGAACACACCTGATACATCAAGAGTGAGTCCAAATCAATATCAATGGGGAAAATGATCATGAGGTATACATGCTTTATTCTATCTTTTGCTATTTGCATTTTTTCTCCATAATTTTCATGTCAGCTCCCTTATCAATCCCATGCTCATCATGAATGAGAACTGGATAATGAGCATCTATCCAGAACAATGTAAAATAAGCAGCATAATGGCAGAGATGTTTTAAGGCTTAAGTGATTCCCAGTAAGGACTCAGTTGTCTAAATATCACTTGAGTTTCTGTACACATCAGCACTAAACTCTGCCTCACAAACTGTGGATGCTTTCTTTACTGTATTCCTATATTAAAGAGAACACTCTCTATCAAGGAACATCAAGGAAACAATTCTATTCGACACAACCAAAAGAAAATCCGTTACTAAATGATAGAGTAAAAGAAAAGATTTTTAATGTTGCTAGCAGAAGTTAGGCCCATACCGATTATAATAATAAAGGCTATTGATACTAACATGTTCTTATCTTTTTTCTATTTCTAACATTATATAGTCTTGAGTCAGCAATGCTTACAGAGAAGGAAACTCCTATTTGCTGAAAACAATAGGAATCTTATAGAATGGAAATTAAAGAGAAAATTAATGTTTTACCCTGGAAACTAAAAATCAAACAAAATATTAAATTAATAGTTGGTATAATTAATTATGCTAAAATATGACCAGGAAATTTACTATATTTTTCACACACATGAAGCAAGAAACAGTTCCAAGATACTGGGTGAGACAGCTGTGTGGTGAAACTAGTAACTCAGAAGTCTCCCTAGTAAGAGCCTTCATTCCACCATGTACTTCATCCCCAGTAAGCACACAGCCAAGAGGGCCACCACAACCCTGACACTTCAATAACCTACACTCATATTTTTCTGACTGAGACCCACTAGTGATAGAAACTAGGTTACTTCCATGAGCTCAGTTGGAGAAAATAGTCTGTTGACAACGCAGAGCAGAAAAACTCTTACCAGGAAATCCTGGCTAGGACTTTGCTGGGGATTAAATAGTTGCAAAAGGGGGATATGGACAGGGACCTTTAACCAGCATGTCACTTTTTTTTTTTTTTGAGATGGAGTCTCACTCTGTCGCCCTGGCTGGAGTGCAGTCATGAGATCTCGGCTCACTACAACCTCCACCTCCCAGGTTCAAGTGATTCTCCTGCCTCAGCCTCTCAAGTAGCTGGGACTACAGGCACCCACCATTACACCTGGCTAATTTTTGTATCTTTAGCAGAGATGGGGTTCCACCATTTTGGCCAGGCTGGTCTCCAACTCCTGCCCTCAGGTGATCCGCTTGCCTCGGCCTCCCAAAGTGCTGAGATTACAGGTGTGAGTCACCGTGCCAGGCCAGAAGCCCGCATTTTAAAGGAGTGGCATAATGATCCCTTCTTCCCCTTTGCCATCATCGTTATCTATGGAAAAATGTAATGAGATCCTTTTTATAAATAATTCAAAGAGGCAACTGCATTTTTGAACTAACTGGTTTGAAATAGTTTGGGTGTGTCAGTAATCAAAGTCAATCAGCCAGTTTTAATGAGTTAAGATGAGAGATCTTATAAATGATTGAAAAAAAGAGAAGAAACAAGTGAACTCTAAGTCTCTGCTCTAGCTCTCTAGATTAAAAACATCTCTCTAGCAAGCACTTACTGCATCTTCACAAACCCAGAGTACTATTAGAAGCTGGGTTTTCCCTACAAGCATTTTTAATATATAATAAGAAAAGTATGTTTATCAGTATGTTTCCATAGGAATTCTTGGTTTTCAGAAATTTGACTAAATTCACTAAAAAAAGGTTCCATTGGTTTAACTTTCACACCCACCACAGATGAACAAAACATAATTAGAATGTTATACCCATGTTCATATCAGTATTATTAACCGGTTAAGAGGTGGAAGTAACCCAAGTGTTCACTGATGCAAGAAGAGATAAACAAAATATGGCATATACCATCACGTGCCATATAAGGACATTTTGGTCAACAGGAAACTGCATCTACGACAGTGGTCCCATAAGATTATAATACTGTATTTTTACTGTACCTTTTCTCTGTTTAGATATGTTTACATATATAAATACTTACGATTGTGTTACAATTGCCTATACTACTTAGTACAGTAACATACTTGCACAGTTTGTAGCCTAGGAGCAAAAGATTCTATCGATTAGCCTAGGTGTGTAGTTGGCTATACCATCAAGGCTTGTGTTAAGTCACTCTATGATGTTCGTACAGCGATGAAATGGTCCAATGACGTATTTCTTAGAACATATCCTTGTCATTAAGTGACGTATGACTGTATATATAATGGAATATTATTCAGTCTTAAAAATGAAGGACATTCTGATGCATGTTGCAATACACGTGAACTTTGAGGGCACTGTGCTAAGTGAAATAAGCCAGTCACATGAGACAAATAACGCATGATTCCACTTATATGATGTTTCACAGAAACACAAAGTAGAATGGTGGTTGCCAGGGACTGGAGGGTGGGGAAAACCAGGAGTTGTTGTTCAATGGGTACAGAGTTTCATGTTTGCAAGATGACAAAGTCTGGAGCTCTTTCTCACAACAATGTGAACACATCTGACACTACCAAACTGTACGCCTAACAATGGCTAAGACAGCAAATTTCATGGTATGCATATTTTACCACGATGAATCAAAAACAGACTGAACAACAGCCACATAGAATTTGCATGCTGATTCCAGTGCATCTCCTGCATGAAATCAGTTCCAGACAAAATGGAAGTGATACAATAGGGCCAGGGAACCACGCTCTTTTTTTTCCCCCTCTTGAAAAATATTAAAATGCTGCTTCTATTTGCAAGTTTGAAAATGAAAGGCAAAATTCAATGGATCTAAATGGAATCTTTTCATATATACAGTTTCCAGAAGGGTTTTTCACTTCAGTTATTGGTTCAGTTCCATTTCTTCTTCTACAAGGAGGGCCTCATAGGGCAGGGTCTGAAGCGGTGAAGCACAATCAGGTTTCTGATTTCTGCCTACATTCCCACATTCATCTGAACATGTGATTCTGAAGTCTGTCTGCAAAGGAGTGCCTACAAGTTTATATATTCACTATACTTAAAGAAGAAGTAAGCAGAACAAAAATCTAAGTTCCAGGCCAAAATGGAAAAATGTAGCCTTCTCTTTTAAACTACTGCTTTGGACGTGAAGGAATCTGGGTGCAAATGCAAAAGAATTGCTCATAAAAGAAGTGTCCCTCAAGAAACACAAGATCAGACAGCAGCAGCAAGAAGTAATGGAAACTGGAATTCTTGCATACTGAATGAGCTTTAATTAAAATAGGAATGCATCTTTGAATTATGTTAAAATAGCATACTCACTAATTATATTAAAATAGCCTACTAATTTTTTTCTTTTCATACATTGTTTTAATCACTAGAAGTATTTTCACTACTTTTAAAATTCAGATTCTAAAAATAAGCTGTTGATATTAACTAAGTATCACTGTTCTAAATACACAACTAAAGAAGAAAATGTTTTTAATGTTAATTATTTACATCTGCAACCACGTATGCTTGATACACGTCTAATATCAATGGCTTGTTTTTGAGCAGCACAAGTGGAAATTGTACAAGTAGAAATTGCACCCTTTCATTTAGCAGCTTTGACACACTGAAAATAAGCACCAATACACTGATTGCCTCTTTAATCTTGAACTATTCCTTTCCCTGGAACATAGTGCATACATCACCAAAATTACATGGATGAAAGAGCTACAAATTGAGTATGCCATTATTAATAGCCTGCCAAAATCTTATATTAACTGCTGGACATCAGAATTCATATTTTGAACAAACTGAATGGACTAACTTGTGGAATGTAATGAACACACAGCTCTTCTTTGAATACTCCATGAATAAACAGGAAAAAATTAACAGCAACAATTTTGTAGGGGAAATATTTTTACCTCTTTTTGTAATAATTGTACAATTAAAAGCTTGAGAATACACATGTAGCAGCACTAATATAAAAGAATCTGTAATATTAAGTAGGATGCCATGGATATACTATGCAGAGACTATGTACTAGAACAGGCTAAATATAAATTCAATATGAAATTTCACTTGTAATTTCCATACAGAAATAAATCTTAGTACATAAATTACCAGTGCCTATTAAAGGGAACACACACTCGAAAAGAGGTTTCATTCATCAGCAACAAACAATGAATAATGTCAAAAAGTAAAGTAAAAATGTCTTTTAAGTTCTGTATTCTATCAATTTTAATTTTTGTATAACATCAGGGGAAGAACAATTAATATTATTTAACTGAGCAGCTTCATCAGGAAGAAGTAATGAATGTTTTCTGGAAATTGGAGCACAAGTCACTTCCTGTCATAAATCTACTGATTTTGCACATTAATAAATACATAAAGACTTAGGAGAACCCAATAAATACATGTTGAATAAATGTATGAGGTTGTCACTCAGAGATTCATTAATCTAACAACCGCTAAATTACTAATGTGCATGGAATCGTTTCCTTCCTTCTCCGCATTCAATTAGTTCAGTGGTATTCCTTCCTCATAGTCTTCCTTAGACTCATGCATGGCATCCCATTTCCTTCTGCACCATTCAGATTGTCACTATCATCACCATCTTCATCATCATCATCATCATCATCATCATTTCTACACCATCAGTTTATTTCCAAAAAGGAACAATGTTTTTTTTGTGTGTGTGAGGATTAGACAATACATGCAAAGCACTGAACACACAATACGTGCTTAATAAATGTTCGCTATCAGCAAATTCCTTCATACTGACTCAACTGGCCGACTCACCATGCACTTAACATGTCTGTTTCCCTTGGGCCTTTACTCCCACCTGAAATAACCACACCCATCAGAATCATATGTTACTCTCAAGGCCCACCTCAACTATCCATGCAATATGAAGATGCCTCTGATTCTCTTCCTTCTTAGCCTTATTCCTTTTTGGTTTTTTTTTTTCACCTCAAACTAAAGGATTTTTTCTTCATACATCTCATATACTACCTTATACTCCAGTTAATGGCAAGGCTTTTATGTCTTTGATGAAACCAAGCTCCTGGAAGACAGAAACTAGCTCTTTCTGTCTCTCTCAATTCTACTACTCTGAACCCAGGGCCTTGTAGAGAACAAGTGCTTAATCTGTTTTTCTAGGTATGAGGAGGTAAATAAAACCAAAGATGAGACTTAAAACCTAATTCATAATATAAAACACACATGACTGAATCAAACACCTATGTGGTAGGATGGATGTTTAAATACACACATGAGTATTAAAGATGATTCGAGCTGCTGGAATAGAGACTAAGGAGGAAAGTTTAATGATGACCACAGAGTATAGGAAATGTCTCTAAAGAAGAGTGGAACCTGATCAAGACTTTGCATAGTAGGTAAAATTTGAGAAGCAGAGGAGGACAGGGATGTAAAGAGACTGCAGGCACGGGCTGAACTGAGTACTTGGTATTTGCAGGAATATGTGACCATCACTTCTGCAACAGGAGCCTTCACCCTGTCTAGAGTACTAGAATATGAGAAAAATGAAGTAGACTGTCTAGAACTTTTCCTGCTTCTCCTCTCTTGATAACCTCCTTTTTGCTGCTTTTTACTTTCCAGAAAGTGAAGTAGAGAAGATATAATATGTGGAACAAAAAATAGTTGGCACCTTGGCAACTTGACGAGTAATTTGAGAAGTAAAATAAGCATTTACACTACTTTTGCTGTGTATTTTCATCATAAATATAGAAAATTGACAGCTTAATAGAGAAAGGAGAAAAACCTCTACCTGGGACATGCAAGTACTTCAAAGTCTTAGAGCTTATAGTATACATGGTGCTATGTGAAGCATCTGTACATGGATAAAAGAAATGCTTGACCTTGAGGAATACATGCATGTCAGCAGAGTACATGGGAAACGGGTGGAAAATACTGGATACTGTCAAAGCCTAGAGGAAAGAGAGGAAAGTACTTAGCTCACCTTAGGGATAAAGTGCACATTTCTAAGATGAGTAGACTTCTGAAATAAAGTTTAAAAGATGACTGAAAGTGAGCTGAGAGGGATGGGGCAATATGCTTTAGATAAACTGAACAACTTGAACCAGGTTTGAATGCTGAACAAGATGAATTAAAAAGAAACCATAAAATAGGAATAAAGTGGTTTGTTGGAAGCCTATTCTACATCCCCCTGGGACTTCATTCCATCATCACGTGTTGTGGGTTCTGGATAGTGTTACCGAGTAGTCTAGGCAGACATCCTCAATTTCACTGCAACTTTTCTTTTGTATTTATAAGGATCTCTAGTCACACATAAAGCCGTATTGATTTACAGGAGGCTCTCAGGCATATCTCGCTTTATTTTTATGAGAAGGTAATGTCCACAGTTCTAATTTTGATAAGAACCTTGATTTATTTGGCACCTATGCATTGGGAGACTGAGCAAAATGATCTTTAGATCATCTCCATCTCAGTTGGTGATAACCGTATCCTTTCAACTACTTAGACTGAAATCAGCCTTGACTCCTCTCACTCAAATCCCATATCCAATTCATCATTACATCATTCTAAATCTATCTTCAAAATATATTCAGAATCTAATAATCCAATAATGTCTTTACATTCCCTCCTACAACTCCTACAAACACATCTGGATTACAGCAACAATCTCCTCAGTGGTCCGACTATTTCCACCGGGATCTTGGGATCCTTCTCCACAAGCTATTCTCAACACAGCAGGCAGTGATCCCATTAAAACCTAAGGCATCAAGTCCCATGGTCACTCAAAACTCTGCAATAATTCCTCATCTCTTTCGGTGGAAAAGCCATCATTCTTACAATGAATGGCATGCTTCCCTGATCAGGCCTTCATCACCTCTCTGATCTCATTTAATACCTCCTGCCTCCCATGCTACACTTAAGCCATTGGCTTAAGTTGACTACACTGGCCTTCTGCCTGGGCAGTAAGGCCTTTTCCCAGAGTCTGGAACATTCTTCCATATGGCCATATGGTTAACTCCATTAATTCATTCAAGCCTTTCATCAGCTGTTACTTTTTCAAAGAAGCCTTTCCTGACCATTCTGTTTATGTATTTCTTAAGGGTATTTTTGAAATTTTATTTCTTATTGATACATAAGAGATGTACACACTTTTGGGGGTACATGTGATAATTTAATACATCCATATAATTTATAAAGATCAAATCAGTATAACTGGGATATGCATCATCTTAAATATTTGTTTTTTCTTTATGCTAGGACATTCAAATTATTCTCTTATAACTGTTTTGAAACATGCAATAGACTCTTAGAAACGATGGTCACCCTACTAATCTATCAAACACTAGGTGTTATTTCTTCTATCAGACTGTATGTTTGTACCTTTTAATCTATTTAAAATAACTATGCTCCTCCACCAGTACTCTGATCTCCTCACACTTATTTTCCCCATATGATGTACTGCCTGCTAAGATAGTATATGATTTCTGGTTTATTATTCTTTTGTTTGTTCTCCTTTTAGAGGTAAACTCTTCTCTATTGAGCAGGCACTCAATAAAGAATATAGAACAACAGAAAAAATAAAGTCTTCCACCATTAAAGAATTATCTAATTTATAAGAAGCAGCATGGGATATTGAAAAAAAAAAAAAGCCCTAAATGAAGTGGCATTCCTGTTTTTTAGACCAGCCCGTGTTTCTTACTAGCTGCATGTATTTAAGACCCAGTCATTTCACAATTCTGGATCTTAGTTTCCCCATGAGTAAAGTAAAATATTTTGATTAGGTTATCTACAAGATCTCTCTGTTTTTAAAATGTTAATGGCTCTTCTGTGATCTTGTTTAATAACACTGAGATACTTCCAAATCACTGTTATCTTATCAATGACAGGACCCATCATCGCATTAATTTATTGAGTGCATCTGGATAATGAGTAGATTTCTGTCTTGGTAAAATGATAGCATTGCAGAATTCAAAGCCTTTGCAACAGTTCTTCAACAACTAAGATAAGTTACTTTTCTCCTTGTGAATTTGTCCACCATTTTATGACAGAATAAGAAGTTACAGCAATAAATTCAGATATACACATATATGATTGTCCATGTCAATGTCAACAGATGGCATTTTGCCAGAGAGGGCAGCATTTTTATTCAAACCATCCATGTCGCTCTATTTCTGACTGACAGGTAGATTGATGATTATCCTTTTCTGTTCTCCTAAATCCTGAGAACAATGCAGGTATGATGGTAACACATAAATCACACAGAGGAAAAACCACATGAACAAACCAAACCAAAATAAATAGTAGCACATCCATAGCTGTGTCAATAGGTCCCTTGGAATTCCTGGCCCTTTCCTGAAGCCTGTTATTGTAATCACAAGCTATCAAACTTGAAATCTAAGGAAATGCACTTTAATTGTTAAAACTGCCTAGTAACGACAGCTCATGCTTATATAGCGCTATGAGCCAGAGACTATTCCAAACACTTTATGAACACCAACTCATTTGATCCTCACAAAAAGCCCCTGAGGAAAGTATAGTTATTGCCACCATTTCACAGATGAGAAAATCGGGGCACAGATAGTTCATAGTGTGCATGCTGTCACACAGCCGGAGACAGGGCTGGGACTTAAAGCCAGACAATCTGGTTCCAAAGTGTGTGCTCTTAATCACCATACTATCATGAAATAAAATTCTTTGCTGCCTGAAGTCTCTTAAACTCCATGATGTGAATTTTTTAAATCACGTCCGACTTTGCAAATTATATGTTAAAATGTCCAAAAGCATGTCTCAACAAAGTTTGTAATGACTAAACTCTATATTGAATTCTTCAAAATTAAAATGTCAGTGATTTAAGACCCGGTTTCAGATTATTTTCTTCCTCTTCCACTCCCATAAGCAAGTTACCCTCAGTGTAACTTTTATTCCATAAATATACGAATGAGATACCTACTTCATATAAAATATAGGTTGAGTATCCCTTATCCAAAAGGCTTAGGGCCAGAAGTGTTTTGGATTTTGGAATGTTTGCATTATAGTTACCACTGAGCATCTCCAAACTGAAAATCCAAAATCTAAAATGTTCCAACGAGCATTTCCATTGAACATCATGGTGATGCTCAAAAAGTTTTGGATTTTTGGAGCATTTCAGATTTCAAATTTTCATATTTGGGATGCTCAACCTGTACACTGTTTGGTACTATACAGGTCATAAAAATGAGTTAGCTATAACTCTGGGCCTTAGGAAATGGTCAGTCTACTATGAGCAATAAGCAAGCATCCAAATAAGAACACACAAATCTAAATGTGATAAAGCACAAGCAATAGGTTATGGGGGGTTGGAGGAGGTCTTCAAGAAGAGGGGTCCCATCATCTAATTTGGAGAGGTGAGTCTTGAGGCCTAAGTAGAATTTGGGAGAGGAGAGACTGTTTGAAGAGCACATTTATAGTAGAAAAAATAGAATGAGCAAAAACATGGAAGAGAAAAAATAATATTCAGGGTCGAGTTCTAGTTGGCTAAAACATGGTCCATCGGGATGAAGACTGGGGAGACAGCTGGAGTTAGGGAAGACAGGAAGTTTGGGGTTCTGCTGCAGGCGTGTCTTCAATATCACAAGAGAGTTTATGAGATACGTGCTTTGTAAATATTGGTGCTATGGTGTCCTCAAGAAATGAAAATAAAAGTAATTTGTGCTTTATAAATCATAAGGTTTCACAATAAATTTCAAAACAGATCCCATGAAGCCCACTGACTAATTTAGTAGTGCTCATACATTCAAAAAACAATTTCCAATTAGGTGCATGATCAAGGTCTAAAGATTTATAGCTGGCTGGCCACGGTGGGTCACGGCTATAATCCCAGCACACTGGGAGGCCAAGGTGGGCAGATCACCTGAGATCAGGAGTTCAAGGCCAGCCTGGCCAACATGGTGAAACCCTGTCTCTAATAAAAACAACAACAAAAACTTAGCCAGGCATGATAGTGCATGCCTGTAGCCCCAGCACTCGGGAGAATGAGGCAGGAGAATGGTTTAACCCAGGAGGTGGAGGTTGCGGTGAGCCAAGGCTACGCCACTGTACTCCAGCCTGGGCAACAGAGCAAGACTCTGTCTCAAAAAAAAAAAAAAAAGAAAAGAAAAGAAAAGATTTATTACTGCCATTCTACATATTATGAAAGGAGGAACAAGTGAACAAATAAAACATCTAGGAATTAAACTCAGCTCCCCTAAATCTGCGCTATAAATCCAAGGACCATCAGAACCAAGTAGTTACTCTTCCTCTTCATTTGTCATTCACCTCTCATCCTTGAACTCTGTTGATCCAGAACAGAGCAAGAGTGACATATAAGCAAAATATGTCACCAAAACATGTCACCAAAATGTATGCATTTCCTCAAGGAGAGAATCTCACTCAGAGAGATTTTATCCTTTATATAAATGTTTAATACAAATGTTTAACCTGATTAAAATTTGCCTTTTAAACCTGCAGGAGACCAGAACTATACATCAGAAGTGCAGAAAAAATGTTTCAATTAACATACACTGGTTGCAAAGTGACCTGGTAGCTGAAAGCCTAGAAGAGATGAAAATATCAACATTTTCTGGCTCTATGTGGTCTCTGGCAAGAAGGTTAACATCTTTGGGCTTGTCTCTCTGTGATAAAATAAGAGATTTGGTTCAAAGTGTCTCTAAGGTGGCTTAAAGCTCTGTAATGCTAATTTTGATTATGTAATAACCCAAAATACAATCAGAACATACGTAGGTCTGGGTTATTTAGTAAAAGAGCTAGAATCCCTAATACAACTCAGTATGTCCTAACGAAATAACAGGGGTCAACAAAGTTATAACATAACCCAACTATGTCCTAAAGACATCACAGTATTCAACATTGTGAAGATCCTATATTCAATAAATCCCATTTAAAATGACAGTAGTCACTAGTATTGTAAGTTATTAAAAGATTTCAATCCAAAATAGATAAAAAAGTTTCAAGGTGACAAATCATCAGCTATTCAGAAAACTCAGCAATCTTGAAGAATGAATTTTGCAAGGATTTTGAGAATCCTTGTATTGATCCCACTGATTACATGTATAGTTTACTAAATAGGCAGCGGCTATGTAGGTTATTGACTGTGTACCACAGGTTCCATAGTTCAGATCAATTAAGATTATAAGGATCATATTCATGCAAGACTAAAGTTACTGGTCAGGGGTTAATTTAGATGTCTCCCTGTTATCGTGGAAGTAGGAAGATTTAAAAAAACTGAAGTAATTATTTTACATATTTTTGTTTGTTTTTGATGTCAACTGAAGCTTTTATAGATTACATGACATTATTTTTTCTCTTCCTTTTGAAGAATCATAGGAGTTGCTTGATGGGAAAAACTGTGAAATTCAGCTTGCTTTAAAGATTATAGTAAAAAGAGATCAGAGTAGTAACCCTGAACTCTGCCACTAATCATTCTTAAGATTTGCTTTGTAGGCAGTACTTAGCATCATGTAACAATCAATGGTTACTGATTCCTTTTGCTCCCAGAAGAGCAAGCAATTATGACCCAGGAAGCTCTACCAAGGGATTACAAACAAATGCTAACAAGAGTTCAATTCTACTATCCTTAGATCATTCCATTTATGTATGGAGCTTTTATTGCTGTGACACCAACATATTTCATAAAACAATTACTTCCTGTTACTTAGCAAAGGAAGAGGCAACACTGAAAGTCATCAGGCTAATCATGGTCAAGACTGTGGTTAAGGTCTCATTCACTCTCTCCCACTAACCATCCAGTGAGAAACCACAGGTCTGGGCCATCTACTCTATAACCTCTGATGCTTTAGGACACTGGCTTCAGAGCAGGGTGGGAGAGAGAAGTGTGGAGCCATGTGCCCTGAGATCGCTGGAGAAGAAGGAATAGGTGGGGTATGAAAGAATAGAGGAAAGAGAAGAGTAACTGTGAATGGCAAGTATGAAAGAAACAAAGGGAGGGAAAAGGAAGGTAAACGGGGGAAACAAAATTATATTACATTGTACACCAATACAGGCAACACAGTTAGGAACTGGAAGATATAGGGTCTTCTGCTTGCCTATGAATTAAGTTTCTTCCTAATGGCAACTATCATTGTCTTCAGTGTTGCTCTCATCTTTCTTCCAAATGCATATGCATATATGTACATTTGGTTTAATTTTAAATTAATAACTTTTAAACTAAAATAAATTATGAAGATTTTTACATTTGATAATTACATGCATATTAAATTCTGTGCTAACTCTGGCTTCAAAGAGAGTTCATGAATTTCTCCTTTGGCTGGGAGACAACCACCTCATGAAATGCAACTCAAACACTAAGTGCCTATCACTGAAAATCACAGTAAATCAAGTCTTGTCCTATCATGTTTCTGATGAAAAATTTAAAATATTTTACCTGAGGAAGCTTTCCATTTTATTTCACCAAGTTTTATTGGGTCCATCAGCTTATTTCCATTGTACAGTCAGAAAACTTATACCCAGGCAAAACATACTCTAGATTGTTATCAAATATTTTATGCTTCGAAGGGGCTGCCTCATTGCTCCAGTATTGATTTAGAGTTCAATTTCTGCAGCAAAGGTATTATACTTGAGTGAATAACAATCAAGATGAACAAAGGATCTCACATATTTCTAGTTCTACTTTAAAGAATAAATAAAAATACATATATTATGCCCACTACTATACATTTTTGTAAATGGCAAGCTCTTACAAACTTATATCTGTCTGTTAGAAAAACCATAAGGTATACAACAAAAATACCAAAATCCCTTAAGTGTGTATATCTAGAACAGCACTGGCTTCTTCCCTTTTTGTAGGATTCTGGCCAATAATCCAGCTAGTAAGATTTCATTTTAAGTTACTTGCAACAGAATCTCCAATATATACTTAAGCTCCAATTATTTTTTACTTTTAAAACACTTTTTTTTCTCTTTTACTCTAGCAGTTAGGCATAGGGCTAGAAGTTTTTTTGTCCACCCCTCCCAAACCTATTAATAAACAACCTGTTTGTCCAAATTTAAAAATATTTTTATCTGCTCATTTTATTGTCAAATAATTTTCCCCTTTATTTAGAATATTATATGTATGAATTATATGTATGTATGTATACACACATAGATACACATAGATGTAGTATACTCAAAGAATTTCTACATTTGATTTGGCTCATATAAAATTATTTGATGTATATTATTTCCATGGTTTTTGTCAAATGCTGAAAACAACTCATAGACGTTAATTCCCATCTTTTGAGATCAGGAAATCCCAGTTTGGAACAATAAAAAGAGTAAGGTGAACATAATCTTAGGATTCATGGTATTTCTAGCCAAGTTCTTCCCCTGCACCACATCTAAACTGTATAGATTGTTTTCCGTTGTCCCAATCTTTCCAAAAACAGTACTTACTTGACAAACACAATTTTACATACCATGCAGTCTTTTCCTCTCTCAAAAGTAACTCCTTATCGCTTTCCCTATAATGAAGCCCCTCATGCAGTGATTTTTGGACATTACTCAAAAAGTAATAATCTATGTAACTCAAAGGTAATAATCTATGTATTCTAACCAATTTGTATAAGGGAAAAAATACTCCTTTTATGACACTGGGCTCAAGAAATTAGTAAAGTCCTACAGACCATTTTAAGGCATAACAAATTAATTCACTGGTAAAGAACCCCTACAATTTATTTCTAGAAATGTTAGCACTTGTGAATATATGCATACACGAACCCTGATAGAAAGGGCAAAGAAGGAATTCAATATATTTTTAAGCTCTGTTTTCTTTAGGTACAGTAACCACTTTTGTCCTTATCACAATCTCTTGAGAGTTTTAGATGTTAACATCCCCATTTGTTTGGATGTAAAACTAAATCTCAAGTGAAGTGATTTCCTCAAAGTCACACAGCATGCAAGAGGTAGAGCTGGTATTTGATCTCGAGTTTCTAGCATAATTCCTACTTTAGCATGATGTATCATCAACTCTTCACTTCCTTCAAAGTTTTTCATAAGGTTCCCCTAAAACCCCAAAATGTATTCTCCAGGCATTGTTACCAAACCACTGTCAAGATCAAAGGAGAAAAAGAACAAAGTGAGGCAGGGAGTTAAAATAGAATGAGGGACAAAATTGGTGCTGGTTTCATATTTTTTATGTCTCAGGCCTAGGACTTGGAGTTTTCCAAAACCTCATTTAATCTCCTAACAGCCTCAAGACATGTATATTATTATTATTATCACATTTAAATGAGGAAACAGATTTAACATGATGGTCTAACTTGCTCAAGGCCATGAAGAGGGACAAGTAGGATTGAAAGTCAAGTCTACCCACTGGAAAGCTAACACCCTGAGACAATAAACTGAGAGAACCAGAGTTGTAAGAGACTTCAGAAGTAAATATAGTTAATAATCTGCTAGGAACATAAATCTCCCTCAACAGTGTCACTGCTTGAATACTTTAAGCACTAAGGAACTAATTTCTTTCTAAGTATGTAACGCATTTCAGTTGGGATAACGTTGATCATTAAAACATTTTCTCATATATTATATTGTTGGGAGACAGATGTCCAGCCTCCGGAGGGGTGTCTTATACATATCAATATTATAAAGGTAAAATTATTTTTTTTTTGAGGCAGAGTCTGACTCTGTCACCCTGGCTGGAATGCAGTGGCACGATCTCGGCTCACTGCAACCTCCGCCTCCCAGGTTGAAGCGATTCTCCTTCCTCAGCCTCCCGAGTAGCTGGGATTATAGGCATGAACCCCCACCCCTGGCTAATTTTTGTATTTTTAGTAGACACAGGGTTTCACCATGTTGGCCAGGCTGGTCTGGAACTCCTGACCTCAGGTGATCCTCCCACCTTGGCCTCCCAAAATGCTGGGATTACAGGCGTAAGCCACCGCACCTGGCCAAAATTCTCTTCTCTAAAGAAGACATCTGCTATAGGGTGATAAAAGTTTTACTAATTAGTATTTAAATAATAAATGGGAAAACCAAATCTTTTAAATTATGATAACGTAACATATGCTACTTGAATAAATGCTAAAAACAGTTTTGAGAAGAAAAGCAAGTGTAGCAAAGGTAAGGATGACTTCAGTTTTAGTCTCAGCACTGCTACTGATTGGTTGTAGTGACACTGGGCAAGTCACTTCACTTTTCCAGACCTGCCTTTTCTCACTTAGGAAGTGACACAAATAATCTCTAAAAATGTTCAGCATATAAAATTCTATGATTATAAGATACTAGTTATATTATTCAGAAACACCCTTTGAATGTCTACACACACACACACACACACACGCATACACACGATAAAATTCACTGCAGTAAAGATTACAATCAGCTTTGAGATGATGAGGATTAACTTCACTCACTGCTAGTCAATCACTCTTCATGTGAATAGTATATGAACTCATGTCTTTATTCAGTTTAAGAACTAAACAACTTAATGGCAGATTCTAGTCTTTGTCCGTACAGTGAAATGAAAAACCCTTGGGAATATTTTAATACTCTTGATGTTATGCAAGCCAAAACAATACATAAAAATATGAGCAAAATATAGAAACAAAAATATTTACAGCTACCAACTCTCTAGAATCTGAAAATAATCTTAGAATCTTTATGTACATGCTAGAAGAATTATGTATATATTTTTCATCTTAAGAGGGTGCTCCTAAAGGGCCAGACAGATCAAATTTTTCTCACTACTCCAATGGTTTGATTAGATAGTGCCATATGGTGAATCACCCCTGGCTACTCAGCCTGTTGGTAGCAGAGGTGGGATTGCTGTCAGTTAAAGGACATTGCTGGGCAAGTGTTCAGTATTTGGTAGATGGAGAAGAAAACATATTAAGAAAAGACAGGAGTGGAAGTCAAAAGGTGAATAACATGACAGTAAAGAAGAAGAAATGCTGAATGAAGAGGGTATATGTATAAGAAAGCAAGAAATATCTCAAATTGCATTATGCAATTAGATTCTTAAAATCCACTAGAACATAAGCTCCCTGAGGGCAGGCACTCTACTGTTTTCCACTGTCATATAACCGGTCTAGAACAGAGTCTGGCACAGAGTAGGCACTTAGCGTACATTCACTGAATGAAAAACAAACAAACAAACAAACAAACAAAAAAAAACCAAAGAGGAAATAATAGAAGAAAAACAAAGCATTGATGTAGAGCAAAAGTAATAAAAGTAGAAACATGAGCATAAAAGTAGACGGAATGTAGTTTATGCTGTAGTAGAACGTTCAATGGACTCTGTGGACAAGTTATATTCCTGGTTCTCAGGGGCATCTAAACAAGTCATAACTTTTTATGCTTTGGTTTTTCAATCTATAAAATACCTCTTCCTTCATACTTTAAAAGGATACTATGAAGAGTTGTTAAAAGGAAGAGGGAAGGAGGAAGAACACAGATGTATGGTTTGGAACATCGTTTTCTGGGAGTACAGAAATGCTGATGTCCAAAAACAGAAAAACTGGAATCAAGCACACTAAAGAAAAAAAAGAGGAAAAGATCAAGAAGAAGGTAAAAATTTGATTTAATTATGTCATTAAGAAACTGGTATATTGGTCATTGGCTAGAGATTTTTTTTGTATGTTTGTAATATATGAAAGTGCCATTCAGCATTAAAATGCAATAAAGTTTCATTAAAGACAGTTGAAATTATTTTGATATGATGCAATGAAATACTGACCTATAAAGCCAAAATGACATAATTACAAAAATAAAAAAGAGTCAATACATAATTGGGAAGGTAGGAAGGAAAGGGGAGAAGAAGTCTGAGTTGGGTATCACAAAAGAATAGAGAGGAGAAAACAAAATGGGTTATGAAGAAAAGAAGTGAGCCACAGAGCAATCTGCTATATATGAGGGAAGAACTCACCCTAGGCAACCCATGCTGTTTTCAGAAGCAAGCTGAACAAAGTATGGATGATCTAATAAAAAGGGAAAAGACCACCACGACTGAAAATTTAATAAGAGCAAAACAGGAAGGCGAGAAGAAAATTTAATTTTAGTGATATGCACTAAACACACACCTGAACAGTGGTCCCACTTAAAGTACTTCCCTAATTCTCAGTCTGATGCTACATTCGTCTCTAGCTCCAACTCTCTACAGTAAGGATACGATGATAGAAGAAAACAGTAGAGAGAGAGAGTGTGTGTGTTTAAATTCTCAGAGACAGAGACATTTTCTAATACTTTGGATTTTGCCACATTTTTCAGAGTTTAGTATATTTTAATAAAAGAATTTCAATAGGCATTTCTGAGCCTGGGTTTCTTCATTGGTAAATTTATGAAATTATTCAGTTCCAATAGAAGATCTTTCAGTCTCTTCCAGTTTTTAATATTTTAGGCTGTAATCGGCTATGATTAAAGTGGGGAGAAGTTATTTAAAATCACTGTTCTGAAATACCTACAAACATAGTTACCAAGAACTAGAAGAAGGATGCATTAGAATTTAAATGAACGGCACTTTCAAATAGAAGGAAAGAAATCCTATGGTATATCCAACTCATCATGTTGATCTTTTGCAAATGGTTACTGATTCTTATTGTCACTGCGGTAACAATGGTTTGTCATACAATCCCATAATAAGACTTAGGACAAAGCAAAACAAAGTTGGCCCAAGATGAAAATACCAACACATTCTTGCATCCAAGAATCTGTTGTCAAGCAGGGAGGATCTCATATCCAGAAAACATTTTCTTTCAAGATGGTACCACTGTTTCCTGGCTATAATTTAATTAATCAGCTCTTTTTATGATAATCTAAGTTTGCAATCTCCCAACAGTCAGGGTAGGAAAAATTTTAAAGCCCAGACAAAACAAATGAATAGTGCAAGTATTATGTGACTCATTGAGAAGTAAAAACTTAATTAGTATCATGACAATATAATCATTGTGGTAGTGGGAAACCATTAACCATATTTAGAAATACTTTAGAATAAAAATATATACTTATATACTTTCATTCCAATTCTGCATTGGACTTCTTAAGACCTACATGAATGCATAGATTAATATCATGAAAATATGAAATATTACTTTATGAAAGAAATACCCATTTTAGAAAATTCGACATAGCCACTATACCTTAAGGCAATTTAAAATGTCATATTTTGCCTTTTATTATAACAAAGACAAAGAATGTTGTAATTTGACAAGAGTCAGTGAGGGAGTAATTCTAGTATTTATAAAATAAAACTCTAACATTAGTAGGTAGATTGGTTTGGGGAGCAACGCTGCAGACACAATTACTGGGATTGTCTCTCTTCTACTCTCTCAGGCTCCAGGATAAAGAAGAATCAATTAGCCTTCAACAGTCTATGACCTTGAAGGCTACAGCTCTGTGCATAATGTGCTGAATATGCTGAGACAGAAAAAAAAATGGAAACGGGAGAATAAAGTCCTAAAACCACTGAAGAGCATGTTTCACATATGATAATGTCATTTTCAAATATAAGCCATGACAGCTTAGTTTATGTCAAAAACATGCACGGGAAAAGGAACGTCCCAGTTCTTTCTGTGACTAAACAATACTTTCTTAGTTGAAAAATACAATCCCTTTGTAAGCTTTTTTTTTTTTTTTTTTTTTTTTTTGCTTTCCATTAATTAGTGGTTACAACCTTTTTAAACAACAACAAAAACAACCACTTACAAGTCTCTAAAAACAAAGCTGCCTGGACCAATCCCTTTCAAACACTACTCTCCCCACAACAACCTCTCCCCACCCCCAAAAAAAGTAGTCTCACAATTTTTACAATACAAGATTTGATGTTTTTTTAAGGAACTAGTCTAAAAAATTAACAGAGTTTCCTTATAGGTTTCAAAGTCTTAACCAACTAACTGTCTACCCCTAACTTTTCAGGAGAAAACTACTTCCCAGACTGCTTCTCTAGGCTTATCTCCGATGCACTTCAAAACGTTGCAGCTGTGCATCTGGTCAAACTGGCCACAATGATGCTTTTAGGCAGCAGTAAATCTTTCCCATTTATTGCAGATGCCACAATATCAATGCCCTGGCTTGGGGAAAAAAAAACTGATAAGGAATATGTAATCTACTAAAACACTTAGTAGAAAAATTTACTTTATAAAATAATTTATCAAAACTTCACAACATACTTTCTGACATGGTCTTAGATCAGGAAAATGTGTTAGATGTTTCTTTGTTTTCCTGATTTCCTCAGATGACAAAATTATAGAATTTAGTTGAAGTGTTTTTCAAAGGGCATTTTTTTCTTTCTCTGGACAATGAAACCTGTTCAAGCAGATTTCAATTAAAGACAAGTTTAAAATGATCAAGTAACCTTGTCCTCCTGGTGAATTTCGCTTCTTTTTGCAGGATCTGTACTTGCTTTTTATAGCCTGTCATTTCATCTGGGTATTATTTCCCAGTCACTTTGCCAGGTGGGAAGAGGCAGCAAAGGCAGTGATGTCTGTCAGACCTTTAATGATGCTTCAGGGATTTGATAAAGATACAAAGCAGCGTCTGCATGAAGGAGGTTTTCCCTAATTGCACCTAGAAAACAAGACTTTTTTTTTCTTTAAATCTTTGCCACTGAATCTGGTGTTCGTGAAATGATCGGGAGTTACAAGCACAAATCAAGTTTTTCTGTGTTTCTACAGCATGCTGCACTACTTCACACTGAACATGATGTCTGGAAAAGGTATTCTTTATTCTTCATTACTGTCCAGAGGAAAAACAAGAGGCATTTCGTCAGAGAAATTGTCAACTCTCTTTTAACCCTAAGAGCTTTCATGCAAGTTATTAAGAACCAAATTTTCTGATCTTGTACTTTTCTACTAAGTAAATATTCCTCATGGTAAAAAGTGATAGGAGATAGAGACAACAAAAATAAACTAGAAACATTTTTAAAAGGCTACAGAAAACTCCTCCCTTCTATATTGATATTTAGAACAGTCATGCTTTCATTCCTGTCAACTTTCCACTCTAAAGCTATTGCAATTACGCAATGCAAACAGGAATGTATTGTTTTTAAGAGCGTGGGCTCTCTGCACATCACAGGTTATTAAACTGGGCCGCTGCAATCTGCCAGACTAAGATGACATACATCAAAAAAAAAAAAAAAAAAAAAGATGTACCTCACTAATGGATCTTGTACTTTTTAACAACTGCCAAGGAAGCTATTTAAACATTTGATTATAGAAGACAAAACTAATTTGGGAAAATCCTTCATGCAGAATCCTACTGTGTCCTGGACAAAATAAAGCTGCCACTAGTAAGTGCTCACTAACTGAAAGTGCCATCTGGGCAGGACAGCAGTCGTCTCAAGCTAGTGAGAGGCTAGCACCGTAAATGTCTTAAGACTTGCTGTAATCTCAAAGAACCAATTAAGATACAAAAGTAGGGAGAAGTGGTTAGGGAACGGGAAGGAGAGAGAGACAACAGGCAGCTTGGGGTCGCTGAGAGGTAGAGGGTAACAGAGAGATGACAGGAAATCTATGATGGGGAAGAGAAAGACACAAAATAATACTCACTGGTATATGAAAGTCACATTTCTATAAAACATAAGAGATGGCGTGATGTTTTAATTTTAAAATGTGTTAGAAATAAATTGAATTTAACTTAAATTCAAGCATGACTTGCAGATGCTGAAGTTTTTCATTCCCGGTACCAGATTGAGCCATGTGGCTAGAGAGAGCTGCTGTTACAACACTGGTTCAGATCCGGAGTTTGCAAGATCATTTTACTCGGCCCTTCAATGCCATCCCAAGCATCTCAAACATAGGCTTTGCTTAAACAAAACCAGGCAACTAAAATGCAAGAAGAAAGGGAAATGTCCTTTGGGGACCTCAAACCCACCCCTTTTATTCATCATCATCATCGTCTCTCTCTCTCTCTCTACTTACAAAGTTTAGGAGCAGTTTGGAGATTAGTTTCTGTTGTTTGTGGCTGAGTTGCTGACTTGGGCGTTCTCACCTCAGGGTTCCGGGTGGGTGAAGGGAAGGATGGCGCAGTGGACGGCAAGAAAGAAAAGGCAAAAATACGATTCTTCGGTGTCGGTGCCGCTGATGGTTCAAAGGAGACAACAGCCTTGTCACCTTGCACTGTAACTTGAACCTCACTTTCAGATTGAGCCCTAGAGACAGGTGAAGTGTATGCCTCAGACGACACCCACACAGCTGAGGCAGCAGTTGCGTCCAGAGAAATAATAGGGTCCTGGCCTAACCCCCCAGGGTCAAGGTGAGTAGGAGAGTCATATTCAAAGATCTTGTCCACAAATACCCACTTGAGGCCGGCGATGCAGAGGCAGAGGCTGACCAGGCAAGCCAGGATGGGGACAATGCAGATTTTCTCTGAGTTGAGGCAACCTCTCAGGCGCTCAGCTTCTAGGCACGCACAGCAGGGCACGGCCAGGCCCACGAGTCCAGGGGTTCTCCCATCTTCAGTCTGGGGCTCTGGCATGTCTTCTGCTGCCGGAAGCCCATCAAGAGATGGGTCTGCACTCAGCTGAGTGGAGGGGCTGGAGGACCTCTCGGCGGCGACCTCAGACATGTCTGGGGAATAAATCTCCATCGGCTCACCTCCAGAAGAAGGCCTGGCCGCTCTCACGGTCCATTACCACGCAGAGGCCCCCCCAACCAAATGATACAGCATCTTACAGGGGGAAATCGATAAATCGTCCAAGTCCAAGGCCATTATTAAAATCAAGAAGAGTTCAGAAAGATGCAAGGGGGGAAGAAAAGCTCCTAGCAACTACAAAATCAAAGTATATCGTAATAATTCTTTAAGCTGCTGTTTCTGGGCCACTTTTCTAGTTCTTTTAAATGCTACTCCAAACCATCCCGGGCTCGTCAAGAGGACAGGGACGAAAATAGATCGACGGAGCTGCCGGCTGATTAATTAAGTAAACCAGTAGCCCAAACTGAAAGGCATGTTTCTCACCTCGAGCATCTGAAGCTGGTGTCTGCTCAGATGAAGAAAACAACTGTCATGCAGGAGAAGTAAAAGCAGAAGGAGGACCAGCGGCGGTGGCGGCGGCGGCAGCAGCAGCGGCGGCAGGAGAGGCAGTAGTGACAATAGCAACAGCATCCTGTTGTGTTAACGCGACGACGGCTGAAAGGGGCTGAATCATTACAGAGCAGCAGGTGCCTGCCCTCGGAGCATCACTGCAAACAGGATCAGAGGGCTCCGGAGGCAAGAGTGCAGCCAGGAGGGGCGGTCACTCCCTTCCCCGCCCTGCCTCCACCCCACCCCCGACTACTCCTCTTTGTCCTTCTTGAGTGCTCATTCACTTTCTTCCTCTGCGGCTCTTCTCTGCTTCAGTCTCTTTCTCTTTCTTTCCCTTCTTCATCCAAGCCCGTCCTCTCTCCTCTCTCTCTTTCCTCCCCCTCTCCCAACCCCCACTCCCCGCTCTCTACCCACACTCTAGAGCTGCAGGCTGGTCTGAGTAAAATCAGTATCCCCAGCCACACAGGACTGCCAGTGACTTCCTATTTTATCCAATTAGAAGGAATAAAGGCCATCAAATCAAAGAGAGGCAGGCAGGCATCAGTTAAGCCTAGTCCCCATGGCCCCCACCCGTTTTCCTCCTTTTTCTTTCTTTCTCTACAAAAGCTGTCCCAGTCTTCTTCCACCCCCACCTTGCCAGCTTTCAGTCTCTTTCCTTCACCCACTGTTGGGTCAGAGAAAGCCAGCGATCGATGCTAGCAATCTAACAAAGCTGGGATGGGGATGGGGTGGGGGGTGGTGTAGGTGGGACCTTATGGGTTGGACCTGAGGCTTGAAGTCTGCTATCTGATTCCTCCCTAGAGAGGTAAGCTTTTCAACAGCAATTTCTTCCTGCCTGCTGCTGAGAGATAGCATTCCTTCCCTAGCCCTCTAATAAGTTTTGTTCACTAAGAGGACTGTTATTACCTGATTTTCAACCAACAGTTTGAACATTTTTTTCCTAACCATGGACAGCTCTGCCTTTAGCCCTTTTTGCAATGACTATGTAAGACTTTGTTTGTCATGCCCAGGGAGAAATGCTGAGTACAGGCTGGAGGAAGGGAGTGCTAGGGGAGGGGTTGGCAGCCCATATATCCCCTGCTGTGGTCCCCTTTGAATTTCCATTTATTCTATCTCACCCAAAGAAGACTAATAATGTCAAGCTAATAGGAAGCACCAGTAAGTAACAGAGTTATGATGCGAGCAAAGCTACCACTTCATTTTTAGATTAGCCTTTCATGGTGACTCCACACTGCAGAGGTTTGGATTCCCTGGCACTGTAATATATACCACATGTCCTCAGCTATCACCGCACTGAAAGTACTAAGAAGAGTTTTCTATGAGAGCATGCCTTTTGGGTTAGGTTTCAGGAGCTTTACCTTTCAGTAGTTTCAATGCTGACTGTTTTTTTCTTTTAAAACAACAGTCATTAAAACACTAGAAGAAATGCACTGTTCTTAATACAGACCACAGGCTTCCCCAAGCACTGTGCTGCACATCACTGCACACAATATGCATCTGAACCTGTAATCCACACTTACTGTGATTGGACATCTAAACGGTTTCCAAGGAACCATTTTGTTCACTTATGTCAATAGGAGTCTGTAAAACTCTCTCTAAATCTATACTACATAGCCATCATATGAGTCCCTGAAGCAGTAAAATTTAGAATTCAAGTCCTGAGAAAATCCGCTTTAAGCACATTATATTTTGTAGGGCACAATCTCCACTACTTTGAGGTATGTTTCAGCTTTAAACGGCAGGAGATAAGAATATTATCACTTCTTCCTTCAAGATGAAATTAGTCCATAATTATACATGATTTAAAGGGTCTTAACATCTTAAACTGTGTTTGCAGTACTATAACTAACAACAACAAAAGCCTGTGCCAATTTGCATAAATGTAACCATGACTATGACAAGTTTATGAGCAACATGAGTTATCCTTGAGTTCATCTCTCTATAATCTGCACAGTAAATGGTGTTTAAAAATAATTCCTATGCTTATTTTCTAGGTTTATTTGACTTCAAAGCAGTGAGACCTCTCTTACAAAGATTCTAGCAAAGGACATACAATTTCACGGTGTAGAAAACATCTATTGAAGCATTTAAAGCATTCAAATTGAAAGATAGTAAGATCTCAATGATCAATATTCATGTAAATATTCAGAAACAATATCAGCAGGTGTTTATGCTAAACTAGGGTAATTTATGATTTCTTCAAAAAGCACCCAGTTGAAATATACGGCACTGAATTCCCCAATTTTGACCTAAACCAAAACTATTATACTCAATACACCAGCATTTCATCCAAGGCCAAGGTCAGCTAAATTTCAAAGACCAAAATGGGGTTCAGGTGGCCTCAAGTCAGGCAGATAGGAGAAAATACCAAGCATGATAACCCATAGTTTAGAAAAGTGGTCTTTAACTTACACCAAGAGCAATTATTCACCTTACCTCAACCATTAAGAGCAAACATATTCAGCAGAAAAAAAAAAAAAAGTTACTGGGCATTGCTCTAGCTGTTACACTGAAAATACCCAACACTTACAGAGAAAACCAACATTTTATACAAAGACTAGGACAACACATCAGAGAGAGAATCCTATGGACTGCCACAAGTACTCTTTCCCTTGGACTACATGAGCCAGACTTTGGGATGTGTCTGTTTTTCCCCCAAAAGTCATTCCACCTTGGTGCTAAGACTAATCTGCAGACAGCCAGCTTCCTATAACATTGCTTTTTTTCCGCCAAATTGGAAAAAGAATGTAAATGGGGAAATGGAGAAGGATGGGAGGTGAAGAATAAAAGAATTCTCCATTAGTTCTACCCTTGGGACTAGGACCCAGAAGTTGCCTTTCTGCCTTCATCAAATCCTCTATAGCAATAAAAGAGTAAGAAAGGAAAGTGTGAATGGGGTTAGAGGTCAGAATTTCCTTTGGATAAAACATGCATGTTTGTAGGAAAAACTGCAAGGATATATCATTTTAACCCTTTAAGCTCCACCCCAGTAAAGCCCAGGAACACCCCATTTCCATGTCCTCTTAGAAAAATAAACTACACAATTTTTTACTACCTAACCTTTTATCACCATCTCCCTCACAATAATAAAAGCTACCTTTGTTGAGTTCCACCCAGGTGACAGGCACTCTGCTAGGTTCATAATATACATTATTTCTGATCTTCACTAATCCCATACAGTCCATATTTATCTTAAATTTTTTTTTTATTTCATTGGCCCAGGCAGCTTAGGTAATTTTGCCATGGACACATAGCTATGTGGCCAAGATTTGAGTACGTTCTGATTCATCCTATTTCTGCTGAAAAATACTGCTTTTGTTATTTCATCAAAAGGGTGCATTTGATTATATTATTGATTACATACCACTTCAAGGAGAGACTATGAGAACCAGAATATGTAACAATGAAATAGGAATTATTACCTTAATATAATTTGTAAACAAACTTAAAAGGATCTAGTTTCCAAAATAAGACTTCTACAATTTTGCCTAATAATTTTTAGAAATTATAAGAATTAAGCATAGGCCATTTAAATACTGTCTATTTATCATTTAAATCAAATGAGCTCTTCCATGGTCTCATTCCAGGACTTTCCTTGGGAAGCGATTTCAGTTATGTATTGCTGTGAAACAAACCACCTGGAAATAGCTTACAACAACCGCCATTTTATTCTGTAGGTTTACTGGGTTCAGCTGAGTGGTTCTTCCGCTTCATTTGACGTCAGCTGGTGCTGCAGGTGAGGTGCAACTAGGTGGAAACGTTCAAGATGGCTCCCCCACATGACGACCGGCAGCTGCTGCTAGATGCCAGCCGGCACTGTGAAATGGTGCACCAACCTGTGGCCTCTCCTTGTGGCTTGAGCTTCCCACAGCATGGTGGCCAGGTTGTGAGAGAAAGCACCCCAAGAAGAAGAAAACACAAGCTGCCAGTTCTCTTAAAAGTCTGTGCCTGAAAGCAGAACAAACTATTTCCACTGCATCCTATTGGTTAAGCAGTCACCGTGCCAGCCCAGACTCAAGGACAGAAGAAATAAATCTTGAGGGAGAAAGTGGCAAAGAATTTGCAGCCACAATTAATCTGCCACAGAGGATAAGGAAGTAAATGCTAGTATGCCAACCTGGATCAAGAAGAGACACGGTAATATAGAATGGGATTTGGCAGAATAAAGTAAAATATATTTGTATTTCTGATCCACTTTCATAATATTTCAGCTTCCTTCTAAGCTGGCTTCAATGAAGAAAAACATCCTGTAATATCATCAAATAAAAAATACTAGAATTCCTCAGCTACATCAATTCAAGCTAGGCTATGAATTCAAGCTAGTCATTCTGCTTTACTTTTATTTACTTTATCATCAGAAGAATGTACGGTAGCTCCAACAGATGAAAGAGAATGATAAATGACATTTTGCTTTTGACCTTATTACTCACTTATTTTCTCTTTGACTTTTTTCCTGTATCTTGGCAATATAACTCTAAAAATATTATCTCCAAAATCTAAAAATATTATCACTGAAAAAGTTTATTCTTGCTCCTAAATTTTACGGCTGGCAAAAGAGTAGAATTTACTTCATGGTATCTAACATAAAATAAAAATGATGGCAGCAGTCGTTTCATTTGGAGAGATCCCTACATACAAATGGCAATTATTTATTTATTTGCTGAGGAATTATGAAATCATAATTTTCACAAGAAAGCTCCATGTCCTGAAGTTGACTTTCAAAACTTGCAGCTTCTCTGGAGGATAAAGTACACCAATGGATCTGTCAGCTTCTTCCACCTATCCAAAAAACATGCCCTCAGCTAGGTCTCAGCTCCTTGACGAAGCCCTTCCCATTTTTCCAAATCATAGACCCAGCATTTCTTAACTGTACCATTTATTGGGGTACATGTTCACAGTCATGTGTCATCATTTAATTACATCGTGTATACAGGGCTGAAGAATGCAATTTATTTGAAGGCAAAGACTATCAGTATTTGATTGTCCCAAACTTAGAGCTGGGCTGTCCATTCAATACATACATTTTGTTTGGTTTTACTTTGGATTGGGATTGCATTACACAGATTATGGGGTCTCTAATAAATCAGCAGGCTTTATTCATAGCCAACTATCTAAAATACCCTCTATACTCCTCCTCTCCATTTTTTCAAGTCTTTTAATGGCCTATTCAGATACTTCCTTATCAAATTTTCTCTGATTGTTCCAAAGTATGCCTTGAATTAATTTAGCCTGATCTAGCGAAACTCAACTACCACAGATCCTATCAGTGGAGGGAAAATTTGGAATATGCTAATATTTAACTATTTTTTCTTGTCATTCCTCTCTCCCCAGCTAAATAGAAAAGTTCTCTGAGAGCAAACCAAATCCATGTGCTGTGTGATGTTCTTGTACATTATTTATGATGCAAAATAGGTGAGATGAATGAAACTCATTTTACCTTCCTGGGCATGTCTTTTCTGCCCACTTTAAAGGTGAGTCAAGACTGATTATTCTTACCCAGTGAAAATGTTCTCAGAGCAGACAATTTGACTTAATTTTAAGCATTACTTTGTGAGATGCTGTATCAAGTACTTGATATTGACTGTGCTCTGTGTTCTCATTCTGTAACACGATGAGCAATTTACTCTGGTACATTTTGTTCTTTATGAGTTTAGATCCTCTGTAACTGAAGATACAGTAAATGATCTCAAAGATGAGGATGTGAGAATTTCATATGGAAAGATATTTTAATTGCATACGATAGTTACAGTGAGTTTGCTTTACTTTGGGAGAACCTATTAATTTCTCACTCTCCATAAGTAAAATCATTAATTTTCTACAAACACAGTTTATTGGTCATTTTACAAGTTGTCCTTCTTTTAAAATTCCACTGGAGAGGTTTTGGAACTAGATGGAAGGGGTGGTTGCACAACAGTGCAATAAATGCAACTGAGTTGTTGACTTTCAAATGGTTAATTTTGCTGTGTGAATTTCAACTCAAGGAAAAATGAGACTTTGTTATGTGTCGGCTACCCTTTCTTCTAGAAAGTATCAATAGGCAATATGGCAGTGAATCTCAGGCAATTATTAACTATGAACTCTGAACTTGATATTAATTTACATATATAAAAATATATTTATATATATATATGTATATATTTAGAGACGGGGTTTCACTCTCTCTCCCAGGCTGGAGTGCAGTGGTGCAATCCTAGTCACTGCAGCCTTGATATCCTGGGCTCAAGCAATCCTCCCACCTTAGCCTCTCAAGTAGCTGAGACTACAGGTGCATGCCACCATGCCTGGCTAACTTATTTTTGAACTATTATTATTATTATTTTGTAGAGGCAGGGTCTCACTTTCATACCCAGGCTAGAATGCAATGGTGCAATCATAACTCACCATAGCCTCAAACTCCTGGCCTCAACAATCCTCCCACCACAGCCTCCCAAAGTGCTGGTATTACAGTCGTGAGCCACCACGCCTGCCGATATGTATATTTTAAATAGGGAAATAGGATGGAGTTGAACAGAAAAATAATATTTTAGTATATAAAATGGGATAGAAAGATAAGCCTTTGCTCATGTTCTCAGAAGCCTTTTGAATTCAGAGTCTCAATGACATATCCATTTACTAGTTTCTGTGTGTGTGTGTGTGTGTGTGTGTGTGTGTGTGTGTGTGTGCGGGTCTGAGATCTTTGGGATGAAGGACTCCACTGGAAATAAGTGCCAAGGATGAGGGGCAAATGGCAGTCTTCCTGTATTATCTGTGTTTTCTTATCAAACGTGATAAACTCAATACCAGAATGTCAGCTCCATAAGACCATGCACTTGTGTCTGCGTCCACTGCTATATCCCCAGTACCTAGAGCATGCCTGGCACACAGCAGACATTGTTAAGCAAATGCATCCAAATGAAAACGACATAGAAGAGGGATGAATAAACTATGGGAAACATCTTTGAGACGTGTGTTTTACCAGTGTGAGTAAATGCAAATAATGTTAAATTACTGTGTGGTGTGTGTGCGTGCGTGTGTGTGTGTGTGTGTGTGTGTGTGTGACAAAAAGAAGAAAAAACAAAAGAAACATTATCTTTATGCAGACTAATCTGAGGTTATGTGGATGAATGGTCATTTCTAACATTTACTGGAGCAATACATATTGGCTTAGCTACCTTGAGCAAATATCTTTGCTGTGTCTCATTAATATTCACTATTACAGTTACGTTCAGGGCATAGAGCAGCACAGCTCAGAGAAATTTTCTGTTGTTTGTTTTTCATTCTTCTGGCAAATGTAACAAAAATGCAAGATATAATTTTGCTTTTATGTACATATCCAATGTGCAATCTTATTTAATGAAAATGATAATGGATGTAGTTTAATGCAGTAAGAGAAGTTTTAGCTAAAAACAAGGAAGAAATACCTTGAATAACCAATGTCGGTTTAATATAAATTCAGCAAAGTTTTAAAAATGGGAGTGATTGAACTTGACTTATACTTAAGCACTAGCTATTTGTTTTAAAGTTCAGTTGCTTGTCAGCCAATTCTATAAACTGGTCCCCCAATCAACCCAGAAATGTAGTTAGTCAGTATATAGCACAGCATATCACTTATAGCAAATGCTCTAGAAATATGTGTTAATTTGATTTTTAAATCTCCTGCTTAAAATAGAGAGAAACAGTTGAGCATGAGATTATACACATGTGAAGGCAGTTATGAATTACTCATAAGAGAGTACCAGCTATTCAAGAGACTGAAACTTCACATAAGCCCATGTATAAAATATACTTGCACAACATTCCCAGAATAAAGAAAGCTTGAGGAAAGGGATTACCTGAAGTATTCTACTTTTAAACATGGTTCAAATTTCTTTTCTCTTTTATATTTATTTATTTATTTTGAAATGGAATCTTGCTCTGTCGCTTAGGCTGGAGTGCAGTGGCGCGATCTCACCTCACTGCAGCCTCCACCTCCCAGGTTCCAGTGATTCTCCTGTCTTGGCTTCCTAGGTAGCTGGGATTACAGGCATGCACCACCACACCTGGCTAATTTTTGTATTTTTAGTACAGATGAGGTTTCTCCATGTTGGCCAGGCTGGTCTCCAACTCCTGACCTCAGGTGATCCGCCCACCTCGGCCTCCCAAAGTGCTAGGATTATAGGCATGAGCCACCACGCCTGGCCAGTTCACATTTCTAAACCTGAAAAGACCTTAGCCAGAGAAAATGTCTTACAATATACGTTTTCCTTAGAGTACACACATTTTTTTTCTCCTTGTTGCTGATCAAAATGAAAATACAAAGTTGCACCAAAGGGAACAAAAAAAAAAGAAGAAATAAAAGTATATGCAGTTTCCAGAACTGATTTGGCATTCTTAGTGAGCCACCTGTCAGGCAACACTACCGTAAGGTCATAACCTTTATGATGCTCATGGAAGCAGACGTATCCCATTTAAAATGAAATGCCAATCTCCTTTTCCTGCTGCTTTTCAGCTCAAGGGGTGGAAACCTTTTCTGTTTACAGAAAATTGTTACAATTTTTATTACTTAAAACGATATGAATTTGAAAGTTATAAGATAAAAATATCTTATGATTTGACCTCCAGCTCAAATGTTTCTACCATAAATTATACAATAGGTTGCTAGAGTCAGATTTGTTTAAGAATGACTTGTTTCTTTTCTGTCCAACATGGTCGCTCCTGCCCGTGATCCCAACTACTAGGGAGGATGAGGCAGGAGGATTGCCTGAGGCCAGGAGTCCGAGACCAGCCTAGGCAACAGAAGGAGACCATATCTCTAAGACACTGGGAGAAAAAAGAAAATAGACTTGTGTCTTTTCTTTCTATTTCAGTAGTTATTTGGAGTAAAAGAATTTAGGTTTAATGCAAAGGTCAACTGTAATCTCAATAATAATTAGATTTAAATTTTTTTTATTGACTGAATGTTGGAGCTGCAACAGGCCTTACCCATGAATTTTATTTATTTAATTTTTTTATTATACTTTAAGTTCTAGGGTACATGTGCACAACGTGCAGGTTTGTTACACAGGTATACATGTGCCATGTTAGTTTGCTGCACCCATTACATGAATTTTATTTTATACAAGAAGAAAAAAAGTTATTGGGAGGTAAAAACAAACAAACAAAAAACCTGCTTAGAGTCACACAGAAATTAATTTCAAAGTCAGGACTGGGAATCACATCTATTTCTCCTTCTTTTTAATTAATTTCTACAAAGGAAAGCTTTTAGTTGCATACTGCCAACTCAGATACACACACTTGATTAGATAGTTTAGACTTTCTCTCGCCTAGAGCCATGAATGATGTCTGTACCAATACCTCACTTTGACTGTTTCCCTGGACCATTTCTACTTGAAAGTTTACTCTTTAATGCTCCCACGACCACTTGTGGTCACAACTCTACTTAATGGGCCTCTTTCTGAAAGATATTCAGAGACTAATATTCATATTTGGACTCTGTTATTAAACAGCATTTTGTCAAACTAAGGGAGCACACAAAATGTGTGCTCCAGAACCCAACAACTTCCCCTGAGAACAGGCTGGAGATTAGACGCTACCTGAATTGTGGGAGCATTACAATTAGCTTTATTGCTTACATAGGAAAGTATAGAATAAAGAAACTACAGAGGATAGGAAGGCAATGTATCCTCAGGAAAGAAGACTGTCACCAAAATGGGAATCGCCCGAACATTACTGCAGTAGCTCAAACACAAACTGTACCAAAAATTATCAGTATCTGGGAATCAGGAAGCCGAGGTTACATCCTCTTTTAATTTGGAGAATTAAAAGCCTGGGACAGGGGAAGGAGTAATTATTAGGGAACAGGAACAAGAAGGCTGCTACTGTCTGAGTTATACTCTGAAATATGATGACTAGAAAACCCTCGGTCCAAATATGGTGGCTTATTTGAGAGAAACATATATTCTATTTGATAGCATAATCCATGACCTACATGTTCTCTTAAACAATGTAATAAAATATATATACTATGCATGCTGGGATATTTGGGGGTAAAATGAACTCATATATACAGGAAATTTCATCAAAAATAAAAAGTTGATAGATAAATGGGTAGACACTCAGTAAGCAAATATAGGAAAATATTAACTGTAAAATCTTGGTAGTGGGCATAAGTTTGTTTACTGAATGATTAATTCACCTTTTCTCTATGTTTGAAAATTTCATAATAAAATGCTGGAACTTTTTAAAAAATTTTTCATGGTGTTTCTGGGTTCATATATGAAAGGAGCCTATCTTGATATACTATAGTAAGTTTTATTATAAAACTCATTACCTATGCCAAACAAACAAAATAATCCACCAATGCTACATTTAGTAACCTCCACTTGCTTATTTTTTTCCTTCTCTGCATCATCCCCCAGCCTCCACCCATCACTACCTCTTTCCCCTACTACTTTTATTTTAAGGAATTGATTTTTAAGATGAATTTCAAAATTATATCAAGGGTAAAAGATTCATATAATTTTAACCATTATCTAATGACAATGAGGTATCTTTATATGGCAACCATTAATTGCTATAGAACATCTAAGAGCTTTTTCTGTCCCCCTCCCCTCACCCAATACCATTTTTTTATTGAGAAGGGATTTTCCTTAATGCTATACTTCGATCCCTGGGGAATTAGAACATCTATGAATAATGTGACTTGAGAAAATGTAAAGTTCACATTACTGAAAAAATCTGAAAGGTTAGATGCTAAGCTTATTCTGTTGAAATCAGTAGAATCCTTGGGTTATTCAGGACGCTCCCATTCTGAACACACCTTTTCCAGTGGTCAACTGGTCAGTGGACCCTAAGGCCAGAGGCTCCAATGTGAAGGTTGAGCTTCTCTGCTGCTGGATTCTCCACCCAGTGATTCACACAGATATTTTATAAACTATTAAATATGTATGATGCAGTACAAAGCCCCTCTAAAAGCATCCGTATTTAACTAAATCATGTCCCTGACAGCAAGAGGCAGGCAGAGCAATTTAACCTAGCAGGAAAAGTACTTCTTTTACAAATTACTGCAGTGCAGAGCTTCAACCATATGCTTCTTTTTGCCCCCACCCCCTGCGCCCGAACACATCCAGTAAGAAAGGAACGGCTTAACTTAATTTGTTTGAAATGCTTTTAGATAGGATTCTAAAACAAAACATAAGTCTTTAGAAGTGTTTCTCAAAAATTTTACCACCTTAAGGCTTTGCCACTACTCTGTCCCTAGAGATCAGAGAAATAACCCAGCCTCAGGTTAAGTCTCCTTAACTTGGGGTTAAATACCTGGAATTAGCCCTGTCTCTTCTATCATGCTCTTCCAAATGTCTACTGCTGTTTACTGACTGACATCAAAGGCATCTAAAAAGTATCAATGTACACCTAGATCCCCCATATTCTTCTCTTTCACCCTAAAAAAGATTCAAAGAAAAAAGTTTTGGATGGAAACTTCAGGGCACATCAAAAGTTAAATGATTGTTACCCATTCACAACCTAAGGCCAAAGAATCTAGTGAGATAAGAAGAACCAATTAAGCAGTTTTCCAAGGTACCTAAGCATTTGGCAATGCAAAAGAATAGCAGAGGGATCTCTACATTTTTAAAAAACTGCAATGACAATGTAAAACATTTTTAGAAATCTCATGCACAGAATTAACTGTGCTCCCAGAGACAGGTGGTTTTACAATAACCTGTGGTGGGGGAAAAATGTGTTGAATGAGTATAAAAATAACTAACTTACTGTCAAAAAAAAAAATCAGGGCTAAATGCTTGAATTGTCCAACTCAAAATGAAATGGCATGACTGTAATTCAGCCAACTGATCAGGAAATGTGCTGTGCAGCATTGAAATGAACTTCTTTTCACAATCTGGCAGGTACAAAATGGAAAACCTCAGGATGACCTGCTTTTCAAAAGCAGTAGATTTCAAATTTTAAGGTCACTGTACAGGGTGTAATAAAAATAGCTACCATTTCCAAAGACCTAATCTGTATGTTAATTTACTTAGCTACCCATCCACCTATCCATCCAAAAGATGTTTACTAAATGACCGTATCTGTGACAGGCATTGTGCTGGGGTTTGTAGATTTGGTAAGAGGACATTAAAATAATTTCCATCTTATAGTTTTCCTTTTCTTCTAAAGTAACAAGTGCAATCTGCAGAAAGTGAAGGCATGATTTGAATTTTTAGAGTGGTAAGGTCCGAGTCACCTTAGAAAATGGAAGAGAAGCCTGACTGTGAAAAACAGAAACAGGTCAGACATTGTGCCAAGTAATATATATACATCAGTTCTTATTTATAATCTTTACAATCAGTATGCAAAGTAACTGATATTGTTCTTATTTTACAGATGGAAAAAGTGAGAATTTAAAAAGATGCACAGATAACCCACAATTACATAGCTAGTAAGTGGTGAAGCAAAGATTCAAACCATCTGAACTTCAAAAGCCATTTTTTTCTGTACCACTGTACAATATCTTTATACTGATACAAAGTATGGAAGAAGACTTTCAAAGCATTTTTTAAAATCATCAATTACATAAGAGATCATTGTTTTTGTTGTTGGGCTCTACAATAAAATTTTTATTTGGACTTACACAAGACTCAACAGGAGGAACAGAGAACAAAAGAAGAAAACAAAAAGTGATGATGAGAATATACATGTTCACATACATATTACAGTTTCTACTTTGGACAGATTTATTTCTCCGATCAGTTTAGCTTTTTCCAACACCAGGATTTAATGTGGAATATTAGGTTGTCAACTTAATTATGCTATGTGTCTTAAGTCTGGCCATGACGAAACCAAACCATTTAAATGATGTTGCTAGTAAGTACATGAATCAAAATAATTTAACATACTAAACAGTATGATGGCCCTCTGTTGCATAATTCTTTGAGCATCAACAAGATGAAGGAAGAAGGCATGCCACAAACTCAGTTTAGCAGAAAAATGTGATTTCTCTCTTTCATTTTTTTAAGAGTTTTAATCAGTATTTGAAAGCACCATACAATTACAGCAAATTAGAAATTAAAATAAAATGAAAAGGGAAGATCAGGTCAGTAGTTACTGTTTCCTCTGCCACAGATTTCCCATTTATTTTTAAGAATGTATGCTTTTTCAAAGTTTTTCCACAGACATTCTAGGTTGATCCTGTCTCTGCTGCTTTATGCAACCTTTTTTTTTTTTTTTTTTTAAGACAAGATCTTGCTCAGCCTCAAACTCCTGGGCTCAAGTGATCCTACTGTTTCAGCCTCCCAATTGGCTGGGACTACAGGTACATGTCACAACACCTGGCTAATTTTTAAAATTTCTTTGTAAAGATGGGATCTCACAATGTTGCCCAGGCTAGTCTCGAACTCCTGGCCTCAAGCGATCCTCCTGCCTCAGCCTCCCAAAGTACTGGGACTACAGGTGAGAGTCGACTCATCTACAGACTACTGCTCCCGGCCTTAAGCAACTTCATTCGTTCCTTCAGTTATTTTTTTAAGCAAGTGCCTCATATGTACCAGGACCTACCCAAGACTGAGAGAAAGAGGAAGGAAGGCACTGGGGAAAGAGATTGCAATCGTTTCTGCTTCTGTGATATTTAAATTCTAGTGGAAGATTTAGTTTTCCTAATCTTAGGTGGGCACAAAGGCAGACTTCAGAAGTAAGAGTCCATAGTCTTATAATGGATTCTATTTGTGCAGTTGACACATAGTGGAGTCATTCTTTTTTAATGAGCCTGTCAGGAAACACTGTTTATTGTATATGCATGTCTAAGTATCTGAAATTTTCCTTCACTCCGGATCCAGTTATGGAAATGTTTTCTTCTGATAGTGTTTTGTTTGATTAGTGATAGAAGAAGAATGCAGAATTCAATTCCAGAAGGGATCATGCCCAGGCAAGAGGCCTTTGGAGGTACTGGACAATTACAAGCAGAAAAACATAATCTGTCTGTTTCCATTCTCGGTAACCATCAAAACAAAACAGCCACAAAAGCAGACTAGGCTGTCGTAGTAATTTAATGATTGCATTTTTTTAAAGCTGTTGTCTTGATTGTTTTTGGTAGATGGATTAAAATAAATAAATAAAAGAAAGCATTAATACAGTTTATTATTATCTTTTTGATGAATTGAAGCCTTCTTATTTACTGGTGATACCAAAGCACAATTTTAAAGTACAGTTAGTCAGATTTCCTGAATTGTTAAGGAAATGTGTTAATTTCATAGAAATTCTAAAATATCAGCATAAAAAAGTAGTCAAAAATCAAAGAGAAAAAAATGAATTACATGCATATAGATATATATCTGATTTAAAAATTTGTTGCTTATAGACCCTGGGTTAATTAATAAGGAAATTCTACAGGAATCAAAGAAATAAGTGTTAAACATTTTGACTAAACATGAGTCCTGATAACAACCCAGCTCTGCAAAATCATTGGCATGTCAAATGCTAACAAGGATGAGAATGAGTTTTAGAATTAAACTTACAAGCTATCATCTTTCTAAATGAATGAGCTGCTCAGAGATGAACTGATGGTAACTAAAGAAATCAATAATAAAATGATCAGGATGAACATCCTGTATCATATTAGAAACAATTTTCCCTTCTTTCAGTTAATTCTGATGAAAATATACAAGGCTCTAGAGCAACAAGTTTCTCATCAACATCTAAATCAATCTGAATTTTTTATCCTTATGATAGAATCATAACACTGAACATTGTCACTGTGTGACATGTCCATTTTTTTTTTTTTTTTTTGAGATGGAGTTTTGCTCTTGTTGCCCAGGCTGGAGTGCAATGGCGTGATCTCAGCTCACCGCAACCTCTGCCTCCCAGGTTCAAGCAATTCTCCTGCCTCAGCCTCCCGAGTAGCTGGGATTACAGGCATGCACCACCACGCCCGGCTAATTTTGTATTTGTAGTAGAGACGGGGTTTCTCCATGTTGAGGCTGGTCTCGAACTCCTGACCTCAGGTGATCCGCCCGCCTTGGCCTCCCAAAGTGCTGGGATTACAGGTGTGAGCCACCACGCCTGGCCAGTGACATGTCCAATTAAGGCACGTCTAGTGAAGAAAAGAGTGTATACTTCGATGGAACTCACTTATTTTATATTAACGTGGCTTATTTTAAAATGTTGCTAAAATGATTTTCACTTTAAAAATCGGTTTCTCTTGTTTAAATACTATTTTCTCTGATGCTCAAAAATAAAACATTACTTTTTAATGCCATAAGTTTATAAACACTTTGAAGTCAAAAGTATAAATATGCATTATTTACTTTGCTATTAACTTATTAACACAGCATTTACCTTTTTCATTACAAATTGAATAATTTGTTATACCACTAAGTTACATGGAGCATTAGATATTATGTTAAACAAAGATCTTGTTGCTATTGTTCTTAAGAACAAGTGTGTCCACCCCCAAAAAGCCAGCGAATTCTGCGCAAATTAAAAGAGATTTTTTAAATGAGTAGTAAATCAGGTCCAATTATGAGCAACGGAGTCTCAAAGCGTCCTAGATTAACCTCACCAGAACTTTCCATGTTGAATTAAGCATGCAGTTTGGTCAGCAAAGATATTCTTTTTCTATATCTTATTTATATCTACTATAAATACCATAAGCATTCCATTAGCATTAACCCAGTGATTAATGCATATGTCATGGACTCAGGTTCTAATCAGTGATAATAACTGCCTATAACTATTTCCACAACTGTTCATCTCCCAACTCTTTTACCCTGACTAACAAAGAAATGCCTACTAAAGTCTAAGAGTTCATGTAGTTACAGGAAACCAGATGCATTATTTATAAGGATGCAGAGGCTAGAAAGTTCGGCTGTGTCGCTTACCCCAGCAGCAGTAGGCTCTAAGCTATTGGCAATAGGATCATTGCCAGTGCATTAGAAGATGAGATAGAAGGGATCCCTGCCAAATAAAATAGCTAAGTAATAACAAATGTTAAAAAAGGAGAGCCTTGGGGGTTGGAAGGAGCCTTGAGGTCACTGTTGAAGCACAATTCAGGAGATCACCAAGCTTTTGCACTCAATACAGAAAGAAGAGTTGTAATCCCAATTAATCCTTTGTGTCTTATCTTTCTTGAGTATTTGCTTTTTAATTACAATAATACATTCTTTTTTTTAAAAAAAGTTACTACAGTATCTGTACATAAATGAGAAATTACAACTGGTATAAAAGAGGTAAAGTGCACAGTATGAGATTTCAAGTTCAGATATAATTAATTGTGTGTTTGTATGGTCTGCCCTGTTTAGAAATCCATACTACTGTTTTAGTGATCCAGGAAAAATCAGTATTTTTCTTCTTTGATTTCAAAGAAAAATAAACCCAGACACAAAATGCTACAATTTCTTATTCTTCATGTGTTCCAACTGATATATTGCTATAGGCAGATACCTGTTGTGGCTTTAAGTAGATTTTGAGATAGTGCCATTCAAGTTTCATTTTCTGTTTAATTATCGTCAGTCAGTTGGAATTTACACCACAGCACAAGAGGCTGCATGCTTTAAATGTTAACAACAGCAGGGATGAGAATGCCATCTTGCCTGAAAAAAAAAAAAAAACCTAAAATCTGACAAAATAAGTCAATTGAAACATAGAAAAAAGAAAACTTAACATAGGGATTGTTAAAACAAATAACCTTCCATATCAATCTGAAACTTAAACTAAAAGCTATGGTTGCAGTCTGCTTCTCAAAACTGATCTGAATGTTACCATCAACTTCAAACATGAAGTAGCTGAGGCTACATATCACATGGTGTGTTTATTCTTTTCTTTGAATAACCTAAGCATTTCAGATGTTTAATGCATATACCTTTTATCTACAATGTCATTCTCATCATTATCTCTTCATCCCAAATGTGTGCGCACTGGGAGGTAGATGGGATGAAGTTTGTGGCATTATTTTTAAATTATCCAAGTATCAAATAAATATAATTTGGTACCTAAAATTGTTCTACCTTTAACACCTTTTATCATACTAAATTGGTGTGTCTATTTCTGTATCTTGCTTAGGAAACTGGGTTCATAAAGCAGATTTGGTCATCTCATTAGGGAAAAAGGACCATTTCTGAAAGTAGCTGCAATTATCATTTGCCCTTTAGACTAGTAGCATAGAGGTCACAAGAAGAGCTTTCTGAGCTCAAAAAGTGTTCTTCTGAGCCTTCAACCTCTACCATCTGTGGGTGAAAAGAACACAGGATGAAGAGTCAGAAAGACTGAGGTTAAATCCTGCTTCTACCACTACTTGACAAATATTGAATTGTCTTGAGTATCAGTCTCTACATCTACATAATGGGACTAACAATATCCATTCTCAGAAGAAAGCATCTGACACATAGTAGATGCTTATTAAAATATATTATTGTCATCTATTATTATTATTAAAGATAATAAATGAAAAATCCATGTTATTGACACTGTTGCGGCACTTCTCTTGTTCCCAAGCAAGTGCCTCTTCAGCACTACAGAGAGGAACAGCGACCAGTTAATAAGTAGATTCTGAAATAATTTGTAATAATCCTATCAAAGGAGAAACTGATTTTTATAAATTACCATGAAAACAAGTATTTATGATAAAATGAAAAAAATCTTCCAGATGTAAAAAACAGAAATAAATTTAAAATATACATAGGTAGAATGTGAATGCTTCTTAAAATGTTACAAGTTCTCTAATAAATATTATTTAAGCCAATGTTAGTTTTTTAAAACTTTGATTTTAAAATACTTAAATATCTGTGCCCATGATTTAAAGTGAAGGTGGTTTTCTTTTCATTGTAAATGTGTACAACTTAAAAAATGATAATCCAACAAAAAAATTCATTAACTCACTGTTGATATTGACATCCATTTAATAAATACTCCCTGGGAACTGGCATAGTAATAAGTTATGGGAATAGAAACACAAATCAACCAAAATTCTTCCCTCTAGTATTTTACATTCTGGTGTGGGAACTGATGTGCACATCACTATGGATAAGAAGTGGCAAGACTGTGGTTCAAGCAAGAGCTATGGGACCACCTAGAGTGAACTGCTGGGGACTAGAAGATAGTCTAACATCTGAGTATAACTACAAAATAATACAAGGTTTGATTTTACTCCTTGATTGGACAAAGAACATTTTTTATAATTTCAGACCATTATTTTAATAAAATATACCCAGGTCTGCACTTCAAATAAAAAGGAAGGAGAAGAGTTATGTGCACTATTTACCCAAAAGTTCACAGCCAATGTTCTAGAAACCTTAAAAAATAAGCAGGGGCTGGGCGTGGTGGTTCATGCCTGTAATACCAGCCCTTTGGGAGGCCAAGGCGGGTGGATCACTTGAGGTCAGGAGTTTGAGACCAGCCTGGCCAACATGGTGGAACCCTGTGTCTACCAAAAATACAAAATATTAGCCAGGTGTGGTGGTGCACACCTGTAATCCCAGCTGCTCAGGAGACTGAGGCAGGAGAATCGCTTGAACCGGGTAGGCAGAGGTTGCAGTGAGCCGAGATCATGCCACTGCACTCCAGCCTGGGTGACAGAGCGAGACTTCATATCAAAAAAAAAAAAAAAAAGGGCAGAAAGTTTTATTATACTTGTTTCTGTGTGTACACATGTAGTGCATGTTACTTTCCATTTTTCTTCATTTTTTTCACTAAGCTGAATGAGTTTAAATATCAGTCCTCTTTACAGGCACTGTAAAATCATTTTTAAAGGTCTTAATAAACCTCTTAGGTATCTTTGAATCATCTATTTCCCTCCAAACCTTATCTTCGTTTCACATACAGTCTCATTTGCACACACAAGGTAACTCTCCCACCCCCATAATCTATGTATCCTAAAACATACCCAGGGACCCTTTGTATAGTTTATTTTCTCACAGATAACTTGGAGAAACTCTGAACAAAGATGTATTTATGCTGTGGAACATTAGGGAGGTGAAATTAAGAAGCTGGTATGAGAACAACAGAGGAAAAAAATGCATCTGGATCAAATAAGAGAAATGTACAAAATTTCTGAAAAATCTATTATGGCCACTTAAATAATTTTCTCTCAGATATATGTAAGGCTATGCCTCTTCGTATCACATTTCATCATAAAAATATCCTGTTTGACAAGGCAGGTTCCTCCTGGTACATTTCATCAGAGCTGGGGCATATTAGATTTTACAGCTTAAAAAAAATGCAGCAACAGCAACTTCCTTTTCATAGCTTTGTAGACTGAGAATTATTGAAAAAAATCTGTTCTCAAAGCTACATTATTTGTGAAAGAAATGGATTTTTATAGGCTGATTCAATACGTAGATTTCTAGGTTAAAATGTAGGACAATATTTGTGTAGAACATTAAAAACTAACATTTTAAATATTTTGTCATGCAGAATTTTATTTTTTAATATACCTTAATTCCCATTTGTAGTTGAAATCTTTATCAAATGGCACAGAAGCTTCTTGTCAGTTAGTCACTGCTCTTAATACATGAATTTTAAGAAAATTGAGGGAGGAATGATCATACAGGCAAAATTTTTGTTTTATAATTTTAACAGATTAATTTACTTTACTGGATTCCTTGATTATAACTAGGCATCCTTTTTAAAATTTACCACTTCTCTCTTCTTTGGATCAACTCAAGTCTTTAAAAAATAAAAATTAAAAAACAAAACTAGTCTTACTTAATGAATAAAACAAGTTCAGGAAATTGCAAGCTGGGTATGGTGGCTCACGTCTATAATCCCAGCACTTTGGGGCTGAGGTGGGAGCATTACTTGAGCCCAGAAGTTTGAAACCTGTCTGGGCAACATAGTAAGACCTGGTCTCTATTAAAAAAATAAAATTGCAACCTTTTCATATACACACATTTCCAGATGGCCTAAACAAAAGTATCTCCTCGGATATGTAACATAGCCTTTGCAAATCCATCTCTGTATCAAGGATAAGTGTCTGCTCATCAACAATGATTCAACTTACCATACTATAGTCATGTTTTTCTAAAAGTTTCTAGTTATATTTCAGAAAGTTCCCCAAACTATTTTCAAAATGCTATTTAGTGTAAATTAATTTCCAGCACCTTCAATCATCACTAATCTTTTATTCTTGACGGTAAATTATAGAATGTCATCATCTTTTAAAATGAGATAAATTTCAGGATTCTGATTTCTTAGTAAAATGACCTATAAATATGAAGTAGAAACAACAATTTGCTATTTTAGGAGACAGACAACAGTAAAATAATAATAATAAAAATAGTAATAATAATAATATTTTCTTTTCCTTTTTTATTTTTATTTTTTTGAGATAGAGTGTTGCTCTGTCACCCAGGCCAGAGTGCAGTGGTGCGATCTCAGCTCACTGCAACCTCCGCTCCCAGGTTCAAGCAATTCTCCTGCCTCAGCCTCCCAAGTGGCTGGGATTACAGACATGTGCCTCCATGCCTGGCTAATTTTTGTATTTTTAGTAGAGACAGGGTTTCACCATGTCGGCCAGGCTGGTCTCAAATTCCTGACTTCAAGTGATCCGCCCGCCTTGGCCTCCCAAAGTGCTGGAATTACAGGCATGAGCCACCACACCTGGCCAAAATTTTCTTTTAAATTACATAACCACAAATGGCTTCTCTATTTTTTTTTTTCTTTTTTGAGATGAGTCTTGCTCTGTCGCCCAGGCTGGAGGGCAGTGGCGCGATTTTGGCTCACTGCAAACTCCACCTCCCAGGTTCACGCCATTCTCCTGCCTCAGCCTCCCCAGTAGCTGGGACTACAGGCAACCGCCACCATGCCCAGCTAATTTTTTGTATTTTTAGTAGCGATGGGCTTTCACCATGTTAGCCAGGATGGTCTCGATCTCCTGACCTTGTGATCCACCTGCCTCTGCCTCCCAGAGTGCTGGGATTACAGGTGTGAGCCACCGCACCCGGCTGGCTTTTCTATCTTAAGGAATATTACAAAAAAAAAAAAAAACTTAATTTGAAAGTCTTCCTCTTGCCATATTTTACTTCCCATTATGATTACGTGTCATTATGCACAATTAATCACAATTAAACTTTTTACTTTGCTGCGAACTCCTTCAGCCCAAGGACTATTTCCTATTTATCTCCCCCAATCATTACACCTCCCACCTCCCACTTCCCAAGAAATATGCATACACATTTCCTAGCCTCATGCTGAAATATAGTAGGACCTGGTTATTATCTATTCATTTTCATTAAAGAGAGGGAAAGTTTTGGCCAAGCGCAGTGGCTAACACCTGTAATCCCAGCACTTTGGGAGGCCAAGGTGGGCAGATCACTTGAGGTCAGGAGTTCAAGACCAGCCTGGCCAACATGGTGAAACCCCATCTCTACTAATAATACAAAAATTAGCCAGGCGTGGTGGCACGCACCTGTAATCCCAGCTACTTGGGAAGCTGAGGCAAAAGAATCGCTTGAACCCGGGAGGCCGAGGTTGCAGTGAGCCGAGATCACACCACTGCACTCCAGCCTGACGACGGAGCTAGACTCCGTCTCAAGAAAAAAAAAAAAAAGAAAAAAGAAAAAAAAAAAAAGAGAGGGAAAGTTTTCAGTGATCTAAGGATCAAACAGCAAAAACAGGGCCATCCAATTTTAATTCACCTACATTCACCACTCACTTGCTATTTGACCTTAAGTGTCACTTGGCCTATCCCTATCTATATGTTACTTTCCCTACCATTGAAATAATGAGAATAGTCCAAAATTGCTTTAAAAATTTAAAGGAAAGACTGATTAAATTTGTGATAATTACAAATACAAATTTCTGCAACATTTCACAAAGCCAGGCATTCTCTCTCTCGCTCTCTCCTTCTGACATTTCTTAAAAAGCTCTTTAAAGTTTGGTATTCACTCAAGAGGTAGTGCTAGAATACCTCAGCAAAGAACAAACCAAAGAGCCCATCGTTGATGGATAAATTCAACCTAAACACCAAACCTGAAATCAGAGATGGTTATGGACTTGAATAAAGATGAGCATAGCTCTAGGCTATAAGCCACAGTGACCCAATTAATTGGTTTTTGAGAGTTTGCTGACCTTTGGTAGACTAAGAGATAAAATGAAAAGTGGCATTCCAACACTTTTGATGATTAGCTAAACTATGTATACACAGCAAGTTATTAAAGAAATGAATTAAGTATTCACAGCTTGTATGGGAGGTGCATTATAACAGAGTGGGACAGAGAAAAGTGGAAGATGCCCACAGATGAACTACCGGAGTTGTTATTTCGTTTAGGTTTAAATGGTGATGTCTATAAGTCTGATAAAACCTCAATCAGTGTTATCTCACAATTGAACAAGACCTGGTGAGTTTTCTATACAATATTATATGGAATGGGCTAAGCACGCTCTTTTTCTTTCCAAATTGAAAACAAAAAACACCCAAACCCTAATCAACATACAATTACTCTGGTAAAAGAAACTAGGAATTTTTCAAAATCTCCTCAATCATGGATTTTTTTTAAAGGATCCATATCAAGTACTCTGACTTTTGACATCAAAGGTAGAATATTTTACAGATTTCAAAATGCTTCCCATGCATTCTAATTTCAAAACTGTAACTCATTTGTCTACGTTTTTCTACTTTCTTTCAAAATGCAGAATTTCCTGGGTTAAAAAGAGGGCACTGTTAAGAGTAATTATAATGGCTCATAGGTACTAATGAGTCTTTTAAAAAAATGATACTGCAATTATATTCAGTTTTCCAGCTTATTATTTTCTTCAGATTGCTCATCCTGCTTAGTTTTGTCTGCCCAATGAAACACAATTTTCAACAACACCTATTTTTAATTTTCCTTTAAAATTCTGTTACTAATACCTATTTTCTGATTTTTCTAAGGTTGTTTGCTTATCAGTTGTCAATGATTGTGTTGTTGTTTTCCTGTCTAGCTCACTTTTCCCTTCTTTTGCTACAGAACTCTCCTCTCTGTAATGATTCTACACCATGTGGTTCCCATGGGGCTGAGCCCATCTGCCCTCACTAACCCCAACACACACAGCAGTGGATATGTGCCCCAGCCCCCACTCAGCTGGAGGCATTAATCTCCCTGGATGCAGTATTTTAGGGTCAGACATGATGCAATCAGGGCCAATCAGATTCTTCCCTAAAATGTGCTGTTTAGATAAGGAGTAGACTTTCTCTTCTTTTTAGAACTACCTATTTGTTCTTTGACTTGGGACAAGTCACAGATTTCTGAACGTCAAGTCCCTCATCCATGGGATGAAATCTAAGCCACTGAGTTGTATAAATAAATGACTCAAAATAAGAAAATATGCCTTATAAAATGTAAAGTATGATGCAAGTATCAATGATCTATATCTATATCTATATCTATATCTCATACACATACACACACATGCACACACATATTTTATGGTCCAAAAGAATAATTCTGTAAAGCGTTAATTTCAACCAGTACGAAAGGTCAAAGCTTAATCAAAACTTTTTAGATTCTCTCCTCCACTGGTGGAATGCAATGATAGACAGTGAATGACTTTAGAAAGGGCAAAGGCAGAAGTGAAGAAATAAATTATACTCGCAAGCAGTATTGTTTAAAAAAGAAAAAGAAGATATATTCATATACAGAATAAAAGAACTGATTGTGAAGGCAGTAACTTGCTTGCACCTATGAATGGCTATAATATACGAGCCCCAACTCTTGCACCAAGTCACTCTAGTATCCTAAAAATCTGTAAGTAACTCTCCAGCCAACCAAAAAGATGAGGTAATATGAGTAGGGCAATTTTCTTTTTGAATTATTATTTTATTGCTATATGATGCATGATAATTTGTTTGTCATTCTCCACAGTGGGCAGAGCCACCAACCCATGAAAAATGCCATGTTTATAGAAATCTGAAAACACAATTTGCATTCAATTAAAAGTAGCTCTCCAACAGTGGCAGGAGAGGTTCACATGTTATGACCAATAAACATCTGAAATTGAAATGGCATTTTTCCAGCTAAGAATCATTTAGCTAAGCTCCCAGAAGTTTTTTTCTACCATAAAAGCAGGTAAGTCAGTTACAACTGAGGGTAGAATGTAAGAGCCATGGGTCTAAATTCCACCAATGGACCACCCAGATCTGGTCCAATCTAATCAATACATATTAGTGTGCTATTCCCAAGTGAAACCATTCTATCTCATTATGACAGAAATGTCTCTGCAAAGACATTCTTTTCCTTCAGCTAGCTTTTTTAGGTGCCAAATTAAAAACTGAATTGTTCATTTCATTCAGAGATTTCATAGAAGACTTCCTGGATTAGTTCCTGTAAAATGAAGCCTTAGCTGAGAATATATAATATTTTGAAAAGACATAGTGATTTCCTGGCAAAGAACTGTCAGCATCATCACTTAGGCTAAAATCATAAACTCGTTTCCTTCTCCAACAATAAGGGCATTTTCCAACGTTGTTGAAGTAAGATGTAGAGACTCTCTGACTTTTATTCTCTTTTTAGAGCCATGTCACTTTTCCACACACTAGCTCTCTTCCATACATGAAGGGACCATCTTAAAGCAAAGTTGTGCTAAATGATATACATGCATTTTCTCACATTAGACTTCCCAATATATGTTTAAAATAAATAGCATTCTTCAGACCTAGAAACTGAATCTCGGGGCCAGGCATGGTGGCTTATGCCTGCAATTCCAACGCTTTGGTAGGCTGAGATGGGTGAATCACTTGAGCCCAGGAGTTCAATAGCAGTGTGGGGAACATGGCGAAACCCTGTCTCTAAAAAACATTACTCAGGTGTGGTGGCACACGCATGTAGTCCCAGCTACTAGGGAGGCTGAGGAAGGAAGATGGCTTGAGCCCAGGAGGTCAAGGCTGCAGTGAGCCATGAGTGCACTACTGCACTCCAGCCTGGGTGACAGAGAGAAACCCTGTCAAAAGAAGAAAAGAAAAGAACAGAACAGAAAAGAAGAGGAGAGGAGAGGAGAGATGAAACTGAGTCTCAGGGAAGTCACATAATTTGTTTAAAATTATACGGTAATTAGCAGCACCAGAATTTATTTCTTTTATTATTTTTGAGACAGGGTCTCTGTTGCCCAGGCTGGAGTGTAGTAGTGAGATCATGACTTACTGAAACCTCAATCTCCTGGGCTCAAATGATCAATTTGCTCAAGCAATCCTCCCACTATGGCCTCCCAAAGTGCTAGGATTACAAGCATGAGCCACCGCGATTGTCCTCAGCATTAGTATTTAGACTTAAGAGCATGAGTCCACTCAGCATTTGTGCTCTTCCCATTTCATTCACCTGCCATGCTTTGACGTGTAACATGAAGATCACTTGGGTACAACTGGCCCCAGACAAGTCATTTACTTGAATCCACCACATATACTCCCAATAAACTTGGTGCCAAAGGCTACCTTTCAATCCACTCACAGAATCCCATTTCTTTCAATAGTAAGGGCTTTTTCTTTGAGGCAGCAAAACGTTATGTGACATAGCAGTCCACTGCATTATCTGGGGTTAAATGCTGCTGTGTGACTTTGGACAACATGTATCAGTTTCAACGTACAGTGTAATAAGTTTTCATGATAACCATGAGTCATCATCCATGTAAAACATCTAGCACAACACCTGGCACACAGTAAGCCTTCAATAAATGCTTGCTGTTATTCATATTTGAAACAGATATTACCACTTCAACTGTTTTCCCGGGATTTATCTTGATTTTCTTTCCTATTACTATTTGTTAGATTTTCCGTTTTGTTTTCCTCATTTATGTATTAAATTGGAATGGATGGTGCTTAATTCAGCAAAGTGGTTGGTATAACAATTTTTTATGGTATTCAACAGAATTGTCTGCAAAATGGGGCTACCAGCAGCTGGCATCTCCAGAAGAAGTCATTAAGGCTTGTTCCAAACAATCACTTTACTTCTGCTGATTCTATAAAAGGAGCAGCAAGATAGTCCTATTGACTGTTTTGTAAGGTTCAAGTTCTTCTCCTAAAACTTGTCACTTACATGTAATAGAAAACTCATTTAGGCAATTATTTATAAGTTTTTAGTCACAGATGCCTCATTTACAAAAAACAAAAGAAAATAAAGAAAATTATAATTTTGATCTTTATTAGATTAGTATAAAGAACTTAAAAATATAATTAACAACTCTAAACTAGTGAATGAACAATGGAAGTTTCCAATTTCCAAAAATTGAGTAGTAAAAATTGTCTTACAAAGGGAAGGACTAAGAACTTTGATATTTCACTAATATTTACAAGTGGTAGGAAAAATAAACAGAAAGGGGGCAAAACCGATAATGTGTTTGTAAATGAAAAAATCCCTTAAAAACCTCCAGTCAAGAATGATTTCTTTATTGTTACAGTGACCTATAAAATATATTTCTGATTACTATTTAAAAACATGAGAAAAATGCTTATAATATATTAAGTAGGTAGAAGGGTAGGTGAGTGACTTCTATTTTCTTCTTTTTGTTTTTTTCTTTTTCTTTCTTTCTTTTTTTGTTTGTTTTTATTTTAAGAGAGACAAGTTCTCGCTCTGTTGCCCAGGCTGGAGTGCAGTGGTTCAACCATAACTTAGGACAGCCTCAAACTCCCGGGCTCAGGTGATCCTCCCACCTCAGCCTCCCAAGTAGCTGAGACTTCAGGGCTGCCACCAAGCCTGGCTAATTTCTTTATTTTTTTATAGAGATGAGGTCTCAATGTGTTGCCCAGACTAGTCTCGAACTCCTGGTGTCAAGCTATCCTCCCTCTTTGGCCTCTCAAAGTGCTAGGATTACAGGCATGAGCCACCATGCCTGCTCTTTTTTTTTTTTTTTTTTTCTTCTAATCCAACATGAGTTAAAGAGGAAAAAAGGGAACTTTGGGGGCTGTGAAGTCAGATCCATCTCCTCTGCCTATATCTGTTTGCTCTGAAAGCCTCCCCTGTCTTACACTGACCCCCAAATCGCAGAGAACTGTTTAATACATAAAATGTTTGCTGAATCCATACTACTTCAGAGAGGCTTTTCAACATTTACTTTAGAAAACACCAATGTCATTAGTTCAAAGAATGTAGCCGGTACAGGCACAATCACATTAGAAAAGCAGAGTTCGCTTTTCAAATACAGGGATTTACTAGCATCTCCTTGCTGGCTAAAATAAAGTGAAAAGAAATCTATTCTTTGAAGCTGATTATTTTTGACCAGGCAAACTTTTCTGAGGCCTTTGACTTTTTTATATATTTGGCATTTTTGAGTTTGGCTTATTGTTATTGCTGACTCTTCAAGGTTCACCTTCAGCCTTTACTAAATGGAGATATTTGTACCTCACAGTCGTTCCCTGCAATGCAAGTCCTGCGTGTGGCTGCCTTGAAATGGACTGTGTGCTTCATGCTATTTTCATTATTGTAACTAAGACTGGACCTGGTTCCTGCCACGACTGGTTTATATTTTCAAACTGAAGAGCATATTTTCATGAGATTAAAAAATGTAATAAACCTGCCAATGTACCCGCTGAATCTAAAATTTTAAAAAACACACTAGGATTAGTAAAACATGCATATTGTAATTATAAAAAAACAAGTAAAACAATAGTTAATATGAAGAAGTATAATGAAAAAGCCAAAGAAGAAAATCAAATGGAACACCAAAAGTTAAAAACCAAAAACAAAAGCAGCCTTGGTTTTACCTATGGCTTTTCTCTTTCTCTAACACCTCACAATGAATTGGTTAGGGAATCTTGCTGGCTTGACTTTCAAACTATTACAGACTGACTTTTTTGCCACCTCTACTGCTACCAGCCTGGGCCAGGCCACTATGCTCTCAGCAAAAGCCACCTAACTGGGATCCTGGATTCTACCCTTCCTCCCAGTGAGCCATTCTTCACACAGGAGCCAGAGTGATTCCATTAAATACCAATGTCCTGACAATGGCCTACAAGGCACTACATGCTCAGACCCCAGGGTCTGTGGCCCTCATCTTCTATATTTCATCCCTTTGTTCCTTCTACTCCAACCCCACAGGGCTCCTTATGGTCCCCTACACGGCACATGAGCCATGCTTTTGTCTAAGGGCCTTTGTACAGCCTGTTCTTTGCCTAAATACAGTTTCCCCAGATGTTTTTTTGTTTGTTTGTTTGATTGTTTTTCTTGAAACAGAGTCTCCCTCTGTCACCCAGGCTGGAGTGCAGTGGCACAATCACAGCTCACTGCAGCCTCAACCTCCTGAGTTCAAGTGATCCTCCCACCTCAGCCTCCCAAGAAGGTGGGACTACAAGTGCATGCCACCAAGTCCAGCTAAGTTTTCAATTTTCTGTAGAGCTGAGGTCTGACTAATGTTACCCAGACTGGCCTCAAACTCTTGGGCTCAAGCAATCTTCCCGCCTTGGCCTCCCAAAATGCTAGGATTATAGGCATGAGCGACCATGCCCAGCCAGTTTCCCTAGATGTTTGCAAAGTTAACCCTTCACTTCTTTCCACTTTTTGTCCAAATATCAACAATTTAATGAGACTTACCTTGATCAACCTAATAAAAATCACAAGTTTCAACTCTCCTTATCCCCTCCCCTCCTCTACTGTTTCTCATTTTTGGACTACGTAGCACCTTCTAATATATCGTGTTACTAGTTTATTATATTCATTGTTTATATTCTCCTAATAAAATTAAGTTCCACAAAAAAATGTGTTCATGAATCAATTCAACCATATTTACTGAGAACTTACCATGACCCCGGGTGACTGATGTGTGAAAATGGCACATTGAAATATTTTAATATCATGGTACACAAAGCTTCCTTTCTTAGTTTTAAACCATTGCCAAATATCAAAAACTAATTCTACTGAGAATTAGGGAATGGAGTCAGATTTCATAATTATTTCTCTCTCAGTGATAATGCAATGAATAGAAACATAAACTGAGAGATTTATTTCAGTTCCCCAAAGCTTGGGAAAACCAAAAGTATTTTTTTACATTCTCAAACTGCTCAGATATGCTTAAGGATAGTATCTATGGTCCCATTGATGATAGCATGAAGGGTTCCAATTACAAGAGTTTCAATAACTTTATTCAATGAATCACACAGGAGAGAAATTATTTCCAGACAAAATGCCAAAAAAGAAAAACCTAGTATTTGCTTCTGCAGAATAAACACTTAAAAAAAAAAAGCTCAATGTGATTCCTGGATGCTAGCTACATAAAATCCATATAATTATACTAATCTTTTTATAAGTAGAATTAAAAAACAAATAGCACAAATTCCCCGGCAGAAATTATCATTTTGGAGGATATGATGAGAGCCCTTGGAACACATAGGAAACTAATTTGGCCCTTTCTAGCATTTCATTTCCTGTTTGATCTCACCAGGCTATTGCCATCAATCCAGTTAAATGACGCTTTATGTAGTTAAAATATAGCCAAAACACCATACTTCACACAATAAAAGATAATTTTATACCATATAGTTACAGTTCTAGTATCACCAACCTGGAGGGAAAGGCTGTAACATCAAACAGGATTTATTTAAACAGATTGACAAAACAACTTAAATTGCCAAAAGGACAGACTTTCTTTTCATGAGTTTTCCTACCCTGCTGATAGCAAAAGGAAATTGTTCCTTCAACACACTCCCCAGATCGAAATAGAATAACTAGGAACATCTATTTATTGAAGAGCTTATCAAATTGAGAAATGCTTTAAATAAGGAGCTAACATAAGGAAGAGAAAGACTGTAGTTATAAGTTTAATTTTCAAGGTTTGATAAACTCCCCTGTTGAGTATCAAAATTTAATACGATGATATTCTCAATTTATAAGTATCAAAAACTCTTTATACTAGTCCTTGCTAATATTTTAAGTTCCCCCGACATAGCACAAAACCCCAATCAATCTAACAGTTATAGAAGTCCACAAGCACAAAGCCCATTTCACATTAAATAGACGAAAACTAATCTGAGATCTTGCCTAGGGGCTTGCTTTCAAACATTTTCATAATCAGTTACTTGCTATCAAATTTGAATTAAGGGCATCTATATATAGTTTTCTTACTCCATCACAGCTAACTTTATATGAGAATGAAGAAGTTTTGGAACGGAAGCTCCAAACAGCTGGGTATCATGCCTCAGGCAGTTGCTGAAGGCATCCAGAGAAGCTGAAAAGACACACAATGTGCTCTACTGCTTGCCAGGAATTAGGCCTCAGAACTTGTGCAATTATTTTTCAATATTCAAAGCCACCAGATTACCCTAAAACTGATACATTTGTGGTGTATTTTAATATTCTTATGTATATTGGGAGGACAGGATGTCTAGTTGTCCTTAAGCATATTAGGAGGCCATTTCTACTCCAAACAGCAAATACCACCTATTGCCAAACTCAATACTCTGACCCTTAATAGGGGCAGAAGATAGACGTGAACATGACCTTCCAAAGCAGATAGTGCCTTGGGTTAAAAACCAGTGAATAGAATATTTAAGTATACTTACATGAAGAAGTATTTGCTCCTTCTGTGGATACTGATATTCTAATGGGAGACTCTATAAAACATAAAAGTGGAATGAGGCTTTATTGAGTCATGCTGCTTGGACTCATAAATTAGAAATTTGCCAGGCTTGGGTATCGCCTAGTAAAAGAGTAGTAGAACACCGTGCAACAGAGAAGCTGAAGCATTTATAAGTCAGAATGCAATACTCAAAGACCACAAAGGAATATTACCATAGTCTAGACCCAAAGACTTTTAAAAGGGATGAAAATGGAGTCAATCCATCTGTAAGAATATCCCACACACCAAGCATTATCTGAACTTCCAAGAGAGACTACTCTGAGGAGATACACACCACAGGTGAGAAAGAAAATTCCTTCTTTCAGATGTGGTCTTGATTTTGAGAAAACATGAAACCAAAGAGAATAGCCCCTGGATTCCAAGAGAGTGAAAGCCAATTTTCATGCATGCCAAATAAATAAACAAACAAGATTGAGAGTATTTCCAGGCAACTTGGATCTGCATAAACATCCGGACCAGAAAGTGCTGAAAAGTCCATGCAAAGTCTGCTAGAGCAATAGAATAATTACATTAGGATCAAACAAACCATGCTAATTAAATAAATCATACAATAGTTGGGGATATCTAGTAGCAAGATTTTCTCAGGTAGCAAAGATAAAAGAAGAAAAAACAGTCATTAAGTACAGAGAGAATGAAAAATATGACTCATGCCGAAAAAAGCATGGAACGGATGGGTTTTCATTAGTAAGAAATAAAGAAGTCTTAGTATCAAAGAAGGATTGAAAGTCAACAGCCAGAAAGTTATCAAGATTCAAGTCACATATTAAGAAATAATAGTTATAGTCAATTTCCCAAGATAAGTTCCATATAAATGTAAAAGCTCTTTTTTTCCTAATGGCATTTACTGGAGTCAGATAACGAAGTCCCTATATTACAGAAACGTGTAAATGAAAGGTGAAGAAATTTAGAATATGTGATTTTTTTTCTTTTTTTCTCTCTCTTTTCCTCTTTTTTCCTTCCTTCCTTTCCTCAGAAGAGTAACAACCTCTTAGACTCCAGGATCATACCATTCCGCAACACACATACACTTATATCTTAGTAATGACATATGAATATGTCCTAAATATAGCTAAAGTAGTCTAGGATACAGAGATGTTTAGCTTTTATGGTTTTAAAAAATGGCTTTGAAGGGAAGAGGAAATGATGGAGGTAAGATGGAAAAAGACATGTTGATTATAGGTCATTCTATAGTTTCAACAAGGTACCAGCCATAATGAAAAACTCAATGAAGCTAAAATATTAAATGTGGAGTAATAAAAAGAATATCGAACTTGAAATACCTTCTCTTCTACTTCCTGAGGTATATGACTTAACATTTCTAATACTTCAGTTTTCTCATCTGTAAAATGAGGAAAAATGATGTCTTGTTTCACAAGTTTATTGTGATTATCAAATGAAATTTAAGAATTTTTGTAAAAGAAAAGGCACCATGCAAAACCAAATTACCATTGTACCTCTGAGATGAATTTCCAATCTTGGGTCTTCAAAAATTTTCTTCCAAATAAAGATTAATTTTTAAATGTTCTAAGGCTCTATTAATTATAGCATTACAAAGAATAAGAAAAAGTTTAAAAAATGAAATACATAGAGGATAGATTAAATTCATAGCTTGTGAAGAAATCAATGAATTATGGTTATATATGCATTGCTAGAGTTGGGTTCTAAGTTGCTAATATCTGCTCAGACTATAAGTGCTATCAGCAAATACTACAGGCAAGTGAGAAACCAACCAAAACAAAGACAACAGCATTTTTAAAGGCTGTAAGTCTTTTTGTTTTGTTTTGTTCTGTTCTGTTCTGTTTTGTTTTGTTAAGTTTAGCGATCCACAACTGATTATTAGAAACCCAAAGGTCACGGATCAGATGTTGACAAATTACCCAGGAATACACTCTGAGGGGTGAAAGAGTAGAAGGCAGCTAAGAGAATCACCTGGAAAGACATAAAAACTGAGCTTGTAACTCAGATATATCTCCTTTACTTGCTTAATGTCATTAAGTTGCACCTAGATATAGATTTCTTTCACTCATGTATGTTTCTCAGGCCTAAGTTTGAAGACACAGCAAGAACCATCCTCCCTTAAGTAAAATCCAAAAAGACAGAACAAGGTTGAGAAAAATATTGAAGCAGAAAACAAGAGCAGCTGAGAGGTCTGGATGCAGAAGGGGTTCTGATTAGTAGAAGGAGCAGCCAGCAGTTATGGTTGTCATTCTGGTTAGTAAAATTTGCCAGGCTTATTTTCCTTACCTGAAGACACATATGCTCCTTCAGTTGAGGCTGGCATACCAGTGATGATCTCTGAAAAAAAAAGGTGATAGGACATTATGATATATAAACAGGAGGCCGGGAGCAGGTACCACAGCCTGCCTTGGAACTAAAAGTTAAGTGTAAAGGAAGGAAGTATTGCAAGGGAGTGAGAAAAGTCCAGGCTTTAACCATACAGAGAGTGAGAAATGCAGAAAGACAGTCCAAATTGATAGTTCTCCTTTCTTATGCAAAGAGCATAAAATCAGCTGTGCTAAAATAATTAGGAAGCATTCACTGCCTCCACTTGGGTCAGTGAGGAAGAATTTATGTCAAAGAGGCAGTAGGCTTCTCAGGAAGAAAAGTCGAAATAGGGGAACTAAGAAAGTCAAAGCTATCGGATTGCCAAGCTGTAGTAAGAATTTTTAAGTTACAGATCTTTGAACAAGTACATTTTTGTTCAAAAATAAAAGTAAGCCATGTTTCTAATTAGGATTGGTGAAAAACATCAAGTTCTGGCATTGAATTCTATTTAAAATTGCCAGTGAGAATGAAGACAGGTGCTTATCATATGATAGACATTAGCTACCCAGGCAGTAAGTATGCAGCTCCCACCCAAAGAAATGAAGGATGAATCCAACCTGTATACTTCTGGATACATCATTTTCATGAGGATTGTGACAGTCTTATTCAAACTTTCAACTTGTTTTCTTACTGCCTTTATGATGGAATGGGTAGTTACACTGTCTAATTCCATATTCAGTTCTGAAAAGGGCTTCAGTTTGGCAGAATCTAACACTTTTGGAAAGGTACAGTTTTATGAAGCCTGGAAAGATGTAGAGATGCAATGATGTATATCATTCAAGTTTCACTGTGTCATAAGTCTTGCCAAATGACTTAATGGTAGTTCACATTTTCTAACCAGGACAAAAGATAAGCTGAATCTACTGCGATACTATCTACTGTACAAAAATTATGAGATCTAACCGAGAATCCTAAGCAGGTCATATATAATTTTATGTTTAAATTAATATTCTGTTAATAATGGAGTAGAAAACTTTATTACTAATATAATCATCTTTAAATACAGATATGGCCATTTAGGGTTTCCAAGATTGGACTAGTCTAGCAGGTAAGCAGAATCAATTTAAGCGCCAATATTTCTTCAAACTCTGAAGCTTCTCTAGGGACAAAAGATTTTGTGGAATTGAAAGGGAAACAAAGTCATGTGAGACTCAGCAGCAATGTTTAAGAACAAGTGATTAGCAATAAACCTTTAGTAAGACCAAATGTGTCTTTCTGCTGCAAATTAAGTGTGGATGATCCTCTCTAATCACAGATTAGGAGGGCAAACTATGCAAGGAGTAAGCTTGGTTTCAATACATCAAAGTTGCCTACGTTGGCTCTTACATCCACTAAAAATGGGGCTCACTGAAAGGAATTAGTATGTGAGGGTACATCATTTTCTCAGGATTTTCTCAAGCATCAGGCGAGAAAGAGGATATTCCGAATTGGTAATATGAAGATATCTGTTTCTGAAGCAGCACCAACAAGCTTTCTTGATTTGGGCTGCAGAAAATGAAATTGTTCTTCTTTGAGAAAATGTAATCTCAAAGAAACTATATTAGAGATACAAAGTGTGTGTCCTTCTCTAGAAATATCTAGAAGGGCCATGTTTCCAAACAAAGGACCTACACTAAGAGAGATGCTTCCTTCTCTTGTCCTTCAGGATTCATCAATGACATTACAACCAGATGAAGTCGTAAACCCAAGGTGCTCAACTAGAGCTGGGCAGAAGTCCCAATCCCAATTCGGATATCAAGACTCTTTTCAAATTTATTTTTGACAAACAAAGTAGCTGTCCACTGTGACCTTCCAAGAAGAAAAAAAAATCAGAACTTTTCTATCTCCAGCAAAAAATACCTCAGATTAGAGGGAAGGTTAACCATAATGTTTCATTTTTTAATTGAATGTTACCTAAAAATACCAGAACAGGAGGTTACTACAAAGAGGCATCTACACAGAGACAACTTAAAATAACTCCTCTTCCTAAAATCAGGTATTTATCTTGGAGACCTTAAAATATCTTTAATGATTATGGTTTCAAATACAAACTTTCTGAATTAACCCTGGAGGAAATACAAGCTCAAAAGTTAACCTATACTTCTACACCAAAGGAGTCTTCATTGTAAAAAGAATCTTGCTAGTAAGAAAGTTAATCTTTTTAATTAAAACCACTCAGCAAGCATTTTTATGTGTGCTATGGGTAGAATTTATAGATTTGGAAAACAGCCTTTTGTTAAAAGTAAATTGAAAGTAATTTTATATTACACTTACAGACTTTTAAAAAAGCATTAAATCCTGCAATCTTTATGATGTTTATTTAAGCAACATATTTTCCCATAGTAATTTGGCATATTACATTTGTTAATTTATAAAGGACAGCCCCTTCATTAGTGCAAATTAATGAGGTTTTAGAATTATCAGAAACTGAACACAGCTGAGCAACTTATGCTGAACAGGCAAGTAAACATAATGAACATTAGTATATTTGTAATGTTTGAATTCTTTCTTAATAAACGGGGTCTGGTCTCAGGAAAAAGTTGCATGGTCTCAAAGATATCTTCTAGAAAGGAATTTTTCTAATTATTATGAATGTAACATGTTTGCAATTTCATCATGATCATAATACACTAAATATAATTATGTAGCAAAATACACATATGCACATTGTATACAGTATATACAAACATACATAAAATGTGTCTGTGTGTATTCCAACATTCACTTATGTGACTTTTTTACCAAACTTATATGTCACTGCTGTACATACAAAAATTTTGATCAAGTGATTTCTTTAAAAGATTTAAAAGTGGACATATTTATTTATTAGCAGTTATAAAGATAACTTAAGGAACATCTTTAAGTACCTGAATTCTTCCTGTTCATAATGAATGCTTACTCTAAGGCAACTGAGAAATTTTGAAATTAATAAACAGTGTAGACAGGATGGATACCATACATTGAAAAGACAAATCTACCCTATTGCTTTCATATTGTTCTCATGTATTTGCCTTCCTGGGCATCCTACATAATACAATATACATGTAGACTGTTATACAAATTATAAAACATATTTTACATGCTTTTCAACATAACTGCAGGTTGTTTCCCAATATTGTGAAATTTCTAACATCATTATCAATTTGGGAAAGGGGGTAAGGCGAAGCCTATTACCAGTATGAGTCTATTTTTAAAAGCTGCAATTGATAATTTAATTAAATTTTATAAAAATAATATTTTTCTGCTCATCTCAAATGAAACAGCTATTTTTTTGCTACAAGCCCAATTGCTCCTGTGGGAACTTGAATCTCATTCAAATAATTTTTCTTCTGATTAAAAAAGAAAACTTAGGAGAAGATATGATTGATTAGTTGTATATTTTCCTATATTAATCTTTTAAAAGAAAGCATTACTTAATTAATTTGGAAACCAGTAAAGTCTATTATTCTCTTCCCTACTCTAAAGCCCAGGAGTTTTCACAAAGCTTGTTAGCTAAGAATTAATTGCTAAGTCAAGGTTTCCTATATACAGACTGAGCCAAATAAACCACAAATACAAATGAACATATAGTGTGTAGGGTGTGTAAACATGATGTATGTGGCCTTTTCTGCTGTCATATACGAATTCATGAAAGGAATTCACTCATAAGTTATCACATAATTACTGCCTATGAGATCCTTTGTTATATGAAAACCCAACTGGTCTTTGTAAGCTTTACATTGTCCCAGAAGTAATTAGCAGATTGCATAGGTTGATATATGTCTACTACAGGATAAATTACTTTCTCTAATTCTGAATAAAGTAGGGGTTGAAAGGCATTGGAAAAGACAGAAAACACCTACATTTCTAAAATGTAGGTTGGCAAAATGCTTGACTGTATTATTTTCTAAGTGCTTGAAAACAGTATAAGTATGGCCACTGTTACACCCAAGCATATACTGTTTCAAGGGGAATTTCCTAATTTTTTAATCATTTCGTTTATATTTAGTCACTAATCCAGATAGATCTAAACAATGAGTTTCATTGCAGAAGACTTTTATGATCTAATTTTATTTTAATAATTACTATAGCTTCCTTAATGAGATTAAACATCATGCCAAACAGCAAGGTCATCTGGGGAGAAAGTAAACAGCTTCCAACGAATGTCTCCCCCAACCTCCCCATCTCTCTTAGAATCTTGTATCAAAATATGTTCTAAACATGTTGGAACATACAAAAAGTAACTGTGTGAGAATTTAAGTGAATCACAAGGAATCCTCTGCATAGGAAAAAATTAGGATAATTAGATTGCAGCAACCTACAAGGATCATTCATCAAGGAAACCTGTATAGAAATTCTCGAAACTATAGCCATGAGCTTCTTGGAAATACATAGAAAAGGTGAAAAAATGAAATTAATAAAGTGACTGATAGTTCATAGAAAATATAAATTAAAATCTCAAGGGGAGTTCTACATAATGTAATAGTTTGACAGCATGTTCTTATTTTAACAACTTTTTTTTTTTCTAGAATCCACAATGAAACAATAAATTCTTGACCGGGTGTGATGGTTCACACCTGTAATCCAAGCACTTTGGGAGCCCAAAGTGGGCAGATCATTTGAGGTCAGGAGTTAGAGACCAGCATGGCCAACATGGCGAAACCTTGTCTACAAGAAATACAAAAATTAGCTGGGGTGTGGTGGGGGGTGTCTAGAATCCCAGCTACTCAAGAGGCTGAGGCAGGAGAATTGCTTGAATCCAGGAGGAGAATTGCTTGAATCCAGTGCAGTGGCCGAGATCCTGCCACTGCACTCCAGCCTAGGTGACACAGCGAAACACCATTTAAAAAAAAAAAAAAAAAAGGAAAGAGAGAGAGAGACAGACAGAGGGAGGGAGGGAGGGAAAGGAAGGAAGGAAGGAAGGAAGGAAGGAAGGAAGGAAGGAAGGAAGGAAGGAAGGAAGGAAGGAAGGAGGGAGGGAAGGAAATTCTTGAGAATTCTACTCTCTATCAGCCCAAGTCAACGGTAAATATCTATTTAGGAAGACATGGTTCAGTGGTGCGGCAATTTATAAACCCAGTAGAAAGTGCCCTTTTTCTCTCAGAAAAAGTGTTTCTGTGCAACGTCTGCCCTGATTCCTAGGGAGACAGGAATGAGACAATACAAAGGCAGTGCATCTAAGCCCCGGAGAGCTCAGAACCCAACTGAGGCTTCTTTGACAACCAAGCATTGAACAGAATATAGCAAATTCTTAGATAGCAGTGGAAGAGGATAAGGGATCAAGATGATTACATATTTTCCTTCTGGATGCACTATAACTAGGACTCTAAGGTGCAGAGCAAAAAGGGTATCTCCTCTAATGTACAGGAAACTGGCCTTGTCAATCATGGTGCCTGCCAAGCCACAGGCCCAGGTGAGCTGCATGCTCCACCCCCAGACTTTGAAGAGAGGAGCTTCCGGGCAGCTATGTTTCCGGCTCCACCCTCCCTAGTTGAGGCAGCAGTGGACGTATGACCAGACAGCAGATAATTTGTAAGTTCTCTAGGTCTTTTAATGAATATGCAACAATCAACTTTGCTAATAGGATTCTTGGTCTGCGGAATTTCACTGGGGAACCAAGGAAACAATCATACAGTAGAGGTTAAAGCTGAAAGAATGCCTGAAATTGCCATGAAGAATATGGCCACGTGGGGGCAAGAAACAGGTCAAAGTTTGGAATTATAAAGAGGCGGAGTCTGAAAGTAGGAGAGGTGAGAAGGTAGGTAACTTTTGTTAAAACTATCAGAAGCATATTAAAGGTAGAAACACCAGAGAGAAAAGCCACAAACTCGCATTGCTTAAATTCGCAGAGATGCTCAGCATACAATTCCATCTCCTCGAGGCTGAGTTATAATGAAGTTCTAGTTCTTCGCCATAGAATCCCTCACTCCTTAGGCCTCATACCATTCCTTCAGCTTCTGTTCTTTATAAGCAAAAGAATCTCACTTAAACATTTGCAAGCATATAGTCAGATACAGAGTAAGGCTGGGCGCAGCGGCTCACACCTGTAATCCCAGCACTTTGGGAGTTCAAGGTGGGTAGACTTCTTGAACTCAGGAGTTCCACAGTGGGCAACATAGTTGAACCTAGGAGTTCCAGAGTGGGCAACATAGCAACACTCCATCTCAAACAAAATTTTTTTTTTTTAATTAGCCAGGCGTAATGGCATGCACCTGGCTACTCAGGGGGCTGAGGTGGGAGGATCCCTTCAGTCCAGGAGTCAGAGGTTGCAGTGAGCCAAGATCACACCTCTGCACCCTAGCCTGGGTGACAGAGTGAAACCCTGTCTCAAAAAACAAAAAAGAAAACACACACAAAAAACATTTCAGATACAGATGGAACTGCACTGTGGTAGGAATGAAGCAAAAAAAAAAAAAAACAAAAAAAAAAAAAACAAAAAAAACCTGGGTTCATATCTCCTTTTGCTGTTAAATATCTCTGTGATCCTGAATAAGTCTGTTTTCTATGCTGTCTTTTATTCTTTTTTAATACAATGAAGGGGTTGGATAAGGATGATCTATTCCTAACATTCCAAGAAGAGAATAAAAAGAAGGCCAACTTGCATTGCAATTGAGACTCTTCATTCTCATTCTTCAGAGGCTTTAATTACATAAGTCCATAGGAACCTATTTCTGAAAGAATTTTTGTTGGTTGTTTAAGAAGGATTTACTTAAAATATTCCATGAACTTCTCTTTATTCTTGCCAGGTAAAAAAGACTCATTATCAAAAACACCTCGAGTTTCATCTCTCTACCCTATAATTGGTCAACACTACATATTCAAATTTGATCACTAGACCAAGACTTCAGTGAATTAATGTGGAAAAAATGAATTAGCTGTTTTTCCTATGTAAGAAATGTAAAAAGCCATATTATCAAACTTTCAGTACCCCCAAATTAATAAAAAAGGAATTCTATGGGTTTTTGCCAGGAATAATATAGTAGTAAATAATTCATTGCTTAATCCTGTAAATCAGAAACCATGGAATAATCAATATGATACTTCTGTAGACACTCAGTGAGACTATGACACTAGCTTTAATTTTATTTTCCTGGGACTTTGTGGTATAGCTACACGAATCAAATCCAAGTGTCAAAAATCACAATTGAATACCATTAACTATGAGGAAACACACTGAACCAAGCCAGTGACAAACTAAGGAGAACGAGCTTCAAACAATGGTTATAGTAGAAAGTAAAAAACAGCCCATTAAAATTAATTTTTTAATGTGTGTTTCAGGTAGCATCCTATAGAATTCTACGTGGGGTAAAGTAATACTAGCAAACTATTATTGCTTAACCTGCCCTGGTTAAAAAATAAAGTGATGCTATATTTACTCATATAAATTTTAAATGGCTTTTACATTTTAAACTGTAATAAACAGGACTCCTAATGGTAATGGAAACTCCTTTTCCCTGCTCTCCTTTACTCTCTATGGAGGGAGACATTTAAAATGAAAGTGATAAACTTTGATTACTCTGTGATGGAGCAGATCCTTGAGAAGTCCAGAGAGGATGAGGCATTAACCTGAATTTTCCCAGCCCTGTTTCTGATTTTTATCTCCCTTCTCACTTTCTTAGTATGTTACAGAAGAATCAAGTGACAAAAACTACATCAGCCTCCCATAGAATTAACCCTTAAAATTACTTTAACTCTGCCTGTGCTGACCTGGCATTTTTACCTTATCACTTTAAGAGCGCTTGCCTTTGAAATGCAGAATCTTTCTCATCTCCTACCAAGAAGATGCAATTAGGCTTGGTTATATAACAGATGACAAATTTTGTAAAGGCAATAGTTAAGTGCCATAATTCAATAAATAAATAAATAAGCACTAAAGGTTTTAAAATAGCATTTGATTATTCTAAAAGGTTTAAAGAAGCATTGCTAGGTCATCATCATCATCAGCTCCTATAGATGATTCCATCAAATCATGGAGTATCAGGCTATTACAAAACACAAAGCCATCGGGGTGGTTCTTTTAATTTCCTGGAATAACACAGAAGTTGTCAGAGGTGGATTGTATTTCTTACCTCTAAGTCATTCATTTGTTTAACAAGTATTGCCTGGTACTATTCTGAACAAAGCTGAAGATGAAGCCTCTTCCTAGTAGGAAATTTATTGCCTCTAAGACGGTCCTAATTTCAAAATTAATAGGCCTAAAAAAAATTAATGGTTTAACTTTCTACTACCTAATGCCAGATGTAATGGGAATAAAATTGCCAGAATTGAGTCAGGACTGTATTCTGCACACACACAGAATATATGCATATTATATATGTATGCATATTATATATGTAATATATATAATACATATATAATACATACATAATACATATATAATACATATGTTATATATACGTAAACATATATACATATATAACGCATATATAATACATAATATGCATATATTCTGTGTGCATATATACATATTGTGTATATATATCCTGTATATATATATGACTGTATTCTGTTGTTCAGAGAGCCAAAGACTTGACTGCCCTCACTGACCAACTTAAAAAAATAGTATAGCCCCTATATTTTAGCAACCCAACCTATCTCTGCCATTCATGGCCTTATTAAAATCCTTTTGTAAAAAATATATGTATATTTCAGGTCTATATAATCTCATAGAGTACAGAAATTTATGAAAGACATACAAGATCCTTGAAACATCTGGTTTTCTTTCTCTGTTTTTAATTTGTTCACAATGAGATTTAACACACCAGTCTATTATGAGTCTTACCACATGTTTTGATTACTCTTGTTACAGATTGAGGAACAGAATACCGTAGGTATCTCTTACCGTTTGATTCCACGATGGTGATATTGGCAGAGGCACTGTCATTTCCTAATTTGCTGATCACTTTGCACATATACTCTCCAGAATCAGCCAGTGATGCTTTGTTAATGCGAAGTTCTGACTTCCTATAAGATCAGGACCAAAGTGGTGTCAGTATATATCACAGAAATCCAACAAATATAAATACATACTTTTCTATGCTTTCAGAGTTCTCAAACTGCCTCTCCCCACCTTATACATATGTTAAAATACAACTTCCGTTACATTGATCTGACCTCATGATTTTACCTAGAGTAAAAGTAAGATGCATCACATTTAAGTTGTACCATGGATTTCATCTCAATTTTATCACCTAAATCAGTAGTTTAAAGGAATTCTTCTGTAGTTTTTCTTTTTACTCCCTTACCATCACCAATAACTGTGTTATACTTTAGATTTTTAAACCCAATTGGTAAATTTTCTTACTTTTCTATATCCAAATGCCATCAGCCACTAGGGTTTAGGAAGAGAAAAATGTATAAAATCATTTCCTACAAGTCTGTTAAGGACACTTACTGAAGGTTAGAATAGATTTTAAAAATACTGTGCACTCTTCTTCTCAGTAGAGTAACATCAAGAATAATGTTAATTTTGAATTAAGAGGATTTATCAATTCCAAAAGGAAGGGAATTTTTCTTTCCTTAAGATTCTCATTGCTGGGAGCATAGTACCACATGAAAGGTTCTTAATACTGGAATAAATATTTGGGCAACATTATCACATAGTTTTATAAAACTCTGAATATTACATCAACATTCACTTTTTTTTTTTAACATGGGCAGCATTGTGATTTGCTGTGTCTGTGTTTTACTGTTGCACATAACCTATAATTTAAGCAGTCTCCAAGATATAAGAACTCAGAACAGCAGGGATTGGCTCAGAGTTTACTGAATTCTTTCTAAAGAATTATTCTAAAGCCTGGTGTGGTGGCATGCCCCTGGAATCCCAGCTACTTGGGAGGCTGACATGAGAGAATCACTTGGGCCCAAGAATTCAAGGCTGTAGTGTGCCATGATCATGCTGGTGAAGAGTCACTGCACTCCAGTCTGGGCAGCAGGGTGAGACCCCTATCTCCAAAAAATAATAGCAATCCTTCTATGCTCTAGCCTGGTAACTGTGATTTATTGGGCTCTTAAGGGGATAACGACAAGGGAGAAAACAAAGGAGGAAGAAACAACAGTAATCCTTCTGGTTGCAAATCTCCCACGTTATACTTTGCTAGTTTTCTGGTGAATTTTCTGGTCTTCTTGTCACACATTAATGTTAACTGAGAAAAATCAATTGTTCCAAATATAATTCCTACTAGTATCCTCCAGTCTATCCGATTGAACCACCCAAAGTTCCACATGTAGACCCCCTGATCTTCCACCTCTGTGCTTTTGTCTGTGTCATTTTTTCTTCCTACAATGGGGGTCCTGCATTCCTATGCATCAAAATCTCAGCTGACCTTCCAGGGCCATGTCAGGTGCCAACTGCTTCACCAAGCCCCTCCTGGTCATGTAGCTGGAGCTGCTCTCACGTGTCTAAATTCTGACAGCCCTGAGTACGCCTCTCATGAGAGTTCCTTCAGTATGTCTCATCTCTTGACCTAGGACATATACTTTGGAGAGTGTAGCTATAATGTCAACTTCTTGCTAGTCTCGTGGAGCATACATCAGGCTATGCTTTCTCTTCAGACATTATTGAATAAATGTGTGAATGAATGAATAAAATATCTGGATGTTTGCTTAAGTACTCAGCAGAACCTAATATTTCTAAGGCTGGTTGGGAGGAAAGAAAAATGCCATAATGAGAGGGCAAAGACCATCAGAGGTGGTCCAGACCAGGGGCAGTGGTGGTCAAACCAACATAGGGGTTGAAAAGTTAACTTCACGGCTGGGAGCAGTGGCTCACGCCTGTAATCCCAGCACTTTGGGAGGCCGAGGAAGACAGATCACGAGGTCAGGAGTTCAAGACAAGCCTGGCCAAAATAGTGAAACCCTGTCGCTACTAAAAATACAAAAATTAGCCAGGTGTGTGGCATGAGCCTGTAGTCTCAGCTGCTCAGGAGACTAAGGCGGGAGAATCATTTGAATCCGGGAGGCAGAGGTTGCAGTGAGCCGAGACCACACCATTGCACTCCAGCCTGGGTGACAGAGTGAGACTTGGTCAAAGAAAAAGAAAAAGAAAAGTTAACTGCGCTAGTCGGGACTCGATGTCAACAGGTAAACATGAGGTAACAAAGCAATGTGTTCCACATTCAAATAAATTTGGAAAATATTAGGTGAAATAAAGACAGGCTTTTCATTATCTTTAATCTCACAGGATTTCTCAGCATCTTGAATATGCTGTTGTACTCTGACTCCCCGAAAAGGGATATATTATTTATTTTCTCTCAAACTCCTTTGACCATGGAATCCTTTTCATTCACAAGGCATATCTGTTAATGTTTTCTGAAAATAATGGTCCACGGAACAAAGTTGACAAAAAGTGGATGTAATTTAACAGCCTTATCTATCTAGGAATGGGGAGACCACCAAGGGCCATTTAAAGAATATTCACACATCAACCAGAGACATTATTCATAGGAAAGCTTCCCTGAAGTATATCCCTATAAGCCAAAATGGGCCTTTTGATGACAAGTATCTTTGCAAATAGATATGTCTTAACAATAAAATATGACAACTTTTAAAATTATCGAAATAAAACAATATTAGAATATCACCCAATGCAGGCTGTATTAATTTTGGGGCTGAATTTTGGAGCGTTCAAATACCGTATGATTTTTTAAATGGATTATCAGCTATATATCTACTTTGATCATATATGACAAGTTTCCTTCATGACAGGTACCTTTGAAAAATAGTGAGGAAAAAAATGGATAAGCACTGTAAGATTTTCCAGCCCAACATTTAGCATGGTTTGCTGGAAGAATTTTCATGTATAACCATGAAACCACTAGCAATAATAGATAAATTATGAACAATATCAGGGTGGGGCATAGTATCTTGATTTTCAATGCCACAGAAGGAGTAAATTTCTAAAGTAAGAAAACTGTAGCTTTTCTTAAGTCCCCAAATTCTGAGATAAGATTACAACAACATCCCAAGAATTTACAACTCCAAGATTATTACAACACCCTCAAGAACAACCTTTCTTTCCTATTTATACAAATCTAGGAACAATCGTGTTTGTATGTAAAGACCCCTTTCTTGACCCAATGCAATTAACATTTTAACTATTGAACTAGATGGAACTATAAGAAAACATGGTAATCATATTTACAGTTAACATAATCTTAAAGGGATAAGTCTTAAAATCAAACTTCTCCTAATAGGCCTTGGCACTGTTTCCTGGAATACTATTCCTAGTAATGCAATCAAATGTTAGGCTTTAAAAGAAAGAGAGATTTAAAAAAAATGGTTCTATGCTAAAATAAATGTTGCATTAAAAAAAGTTAAATAGGTCTCTTTACAACAATGCATCTCAGTGAATTTTTGCAAATCTGTACTGTGAATTTCTAAGGCAGCCATGACATGTGGCCATGGAATCTTTTCTATGGAGAACACCCTTGGGAATCCTAAGACAGAACATCAATGGGCCAAGACTAAGATTCAATTTGATCGAGATAAGCATCACAAGTACATTCACGTACGAAAACTGGTGACATAAATACAAGAGGAGATATCCCTTGACTACAATATATGCAGAAATAAGGATTTCTAATTAGCCACATGCTTATTATTAACCCATTTTTAAAACTATTTTTAAGAAGAAAGAATAACAAAAAAAACCTTATGTACTCTTTAGCCAAATTAATATTAAAGCAGAGCATCAATCAACTTGGATAAAAGCCCCAATACATTCCTCATCGGCTAGATCATATCTAGAATGCTGAATTATACTTTGGATATACTTTGGAATGATATTTGATGATAAAAAAACATAATTAAAGGACTTTAGAAGAGGGTGATCAGAATTGAATAGGGCCTAGAAATCTTATCACTAGAGAGGATTATGTTAAAGAAACAGAGGTCCCACTGGCAGACAACTATGAATGAAATATGAGTAGCTATTTAAATATATTTCCAGGATGCATATGGAAAAGGAAATTATTTGGGATTGCTAAGTCTTACAGGAAAACTAAGTCTTACAGGAAAAAGGAAACATGTTTTGAATGATATTACATAGAAGCACTTTTCTGAGCATTCAAAAATGTATAGGGTGTCTTGTGAAAGAGTTAGGTTTTCTCTTTGGAAAGATTCAAGTCTGGATAGCCACCTGCCAAGCACATTCCTACAAGAATATCTCTGTGCAGAGAAAGATTAAATTAGATCAGTGGTTTCAACTATTTTTTACAACAAAATCCTGTTTTAAAATGAAAGCTTAAATCAGAACCTCATATTCAAAAATATCACACAGAAAGTGTTCCAGGTCAGAGTGACTGGTAATCCTTTTTGCAATTCAATAGAAATTTAGGACTCTACAGAGACATCATTGGAAAACCACTGACCTCAAGGAGCATAAACATCCCTCTGAATTCTAATGATACATTTAACTATGGGATTCATCCAGCCTTGTGTCCTAGAGTAAGGACAGAATGTAGTAAGAGTGTAGAATGAGCCAAATCTTCCTTGAAAATTATATATTGCAAAAAGATTTGGGGCTTTGATAAGTATGGATACAACAGTCTTCTTTTTTTCTTTTCTGTAAGATACCATACTCTGTCTATAAGAAGGAAATTAGCTTGGAAAGACTACTTGATTCCCTTATAGTCATAAATTTAACTTTTTGCTCTTTAATTGATGAGTTTTCTAGGGATCTGGAGGAAGGTTGGTGTTTCAATGGATTTTTATTTTCTAAAAATATTAAATGAGTTAATTCGTGTAAAGTGTTTAAAATAATTTTTTCAATATAGTAACTTCCCAATAAGTGTTAGCTATTATTATAGTAATTACATTCTATATTCCTGAAATATTTGGATTTTCATAATAAGCATGCATTACTTTTAGAATAAGAAAAAACAGTACAGTGTAAAAATAAATTAATGTGAAGTGATTTGAAGATAAAAAGTTCTGAATATTAATTTCCTTTTCATTTTTTTAATATCAGAAAGCACACTGTGTTTTTTACTGTGTGCTCACTTACAAGGTGAATTCAAGGTTCCATTAGCTATTATTTAGTTTAGTTTTATTTTAACTCGATTATTCTACCATAGTTACAGGCTAAGGCAACTTAAACACATATAGGGAAGAACTCTTCTGTTTATACAGTTTTGGTTCCCTGACCCCTAAGGAATTATATAGACAGTGTTTGTGTGTGTGTGTGTGTGTGTGTGTGTGTCCAACACTGCTTCAGATAGTGTAAAACTGATCATCGTGAAAAGGACAAAGAAGTGAAAGAGGAAATTATGATTTTTTTTTAAGTATAGAGACGGGGTCTTGCTATGTTTCCCAGGCTGGTCTTGAACTCCTGCGCTCAAGAGATCCTCAGTAGCAGGGACTGCAGGTACACACCACTGTGCTTGGCTAAAAGAGAGGCTTCTTAAGCAACAGAACCAGTCACTGTACCAAGTGCCTCACATAAACCATATGGAATGCCACTGAGGATTCTCATTTTCTACATAAGAACATTGAGATTTCATTATATATAAAGTTCAAGTGATCTGCCAGAGTTGCTCAGCTAATATGAGAAAAGAAATGCACATAAACTTTTTCCATTATAAAGTCAAAAAAAGCAACCAGTAAAAATAGAGGAAATAATTGTAATATTTGTCCAATGTAACCAATGACAGCCAATTTTAAACAAAATTAAAATATGTAAGAGCTGAGGCAAAATTAATGGTGTCCAAAAGTGTGTGAAACATACAAATAATAGGAAGCCAGTCTTTAATAAAGCTAAGATAGAACAGGTATTTAAATGAGGTCAATCTGCCAGTCCTTACATATGAATCTGTCACACGCCAAGCTTTTTAACCAGTTTTCTTGATCAAAATCATCCACCAATCAAAGAAAACAAGAACAAAGACATAAGCAGACATATAACATGAGGGTAGTTTCCATTTCTTTTCATTGGCCCCACACATGGGTTAGCCAAATAAACAAAGGCTCAATGGGAATTCAAAAATCATACAAAGAACACGTAGGAATGTAGTTTTTAGTAGGACCGTGGGCAAAACAAGGGTAAGATTTTACAAAATAATAGAAATTGCATATTGCTGTGAAATTGTGCCACTAAACACCAAGAGATTAAAAGGATATGTTGGCTGCTATGCATAATCTGATTATAAGAAGTGTGAAAAAGAAGCCAAGACTAAGGATTGGGAAAGAGTCAAAGTATTTAATTAAAGAGAATCCCAGAAAAATCTTACACCTCAAACTAAACTTCACCTCTGCTTGGTTGATCATAGCCTAAGAAAAAGTTTAAGTCAAGTAACCAACTAACAACTGCAAAACACTAATAGTCTGAATATCTTAGTAATTAAAAATCATTAATAGTAATATATAAATGCATCTGAAAAATAAGAATCTTTTAATTAAAGACATTATCCTAAGCATGCCAGAGCCCTATGTTCTGACTTCTAACTTTATGTAGCATAATCACAAATGTCTGTTGAAAAAACACAAGACTTAGAGTCAGACCTATTTCAAATCTAAGTTTAACAATTCATTACCACTATGATCTACAGGAAGAAACTCAGCTTCCTTCATTTTCAGGATATTAATGTTTTAAATGGGTATAACAATAATTATATTCCTTCTACTTATATTTACTGGATAAATTGAAATAATAGAACACCTTGCAAATGTTAATTAAATTGAGATTCAGTTGGAACCTTTAATCTTAAAAAAGCTGACAATGCTCTTCTTTATAAAAAGACACAATTTTAGAAATGACAAAATACCCAATTCTAAAAACTGATAAGATGATCGCTTCTCAAGTAGCTGTCCACTCTATACAAAGTATGTCTTATTTTTAGATCAAATATGTTAACTGCTTTGCTGCGAGTGATTTATGGTTGCATCACTTCAATACATTTTTCCCCATTTAATTCTTTCCAGCAAGACTATTGTTTAAAAGAAGTAATTTCTAACTATTGCCCTTTCTGGTATAATGGGATTTTATTAATATGTAGACAGTGCTCTTAGCTGTCTGGACCTATGAAGCCAATATGAAAATGCTTTTCTGAATACTAATGATACTTTTATATGTCATTGAAGCCAGGTAACAAATTACCTCTTTAAGTATACATGTACCTTTTCTAAAGCCTATTCATTCTAGTCAGTTCACTTTTTTAAAAAAATTCATTTTCTCATCTTATCTACCGAACTTCATTTGCTTCTCTCCAGGTAGCATCAGATTGAATATCTGCAATGTGAGATGCTTTCTTCTAGATGAAATTCTCCTCCCTCCCTTCCTCCTCCCCTGCTCTAACAGTGTTTCAATACATAACTTCCAAAATTTCCCATGTTTCATATAAGACTGAACTAGATAATCTCTGTACAATCTTATGACCCCCGCCCCTGGGCACAGAGATTGTAATGCCCTATACCTCTTTAATTTCTCCACAGTCCTAGCATAAAACCTTTCATGGGCACTTAAATATTACTGGTATCCTTTGACAGCCACGTAGAAATAAATGAGACATTACCCTGCATGTAGAGATAACTTCATTCCTTACTAACTTGTCTGATGAAAAGCAAACACCAAAATCCATTCCATCCAAAATCTAGGAGTATTTTTTTGTCCTGTTAAACTTCTTTGTAAGAATCATACTTATCTTTTCAATTCATTCATTGTATTTCCTCCTCCCCTCATGCACATATGCTGTTAAACATGAGACTTAGAGTCAGACCTATTTCAAATCTAACTTGAACCATTAATTACCACTATGATCTACAGGAAGAAACTTAATTTCATTCTCAGTATATTACATTTTTAATGGGTATAACAATGATAAACTCAGCTCTCACTGAGTCTCTTACTAGTTATATGACTTGAGGCAAAGCAGAACACTTTTTTGACCCTCAATTTCCTAATCTGCAAAATAAGATAGTTGCCATGTGCTGCTGAACTGCTACATATTGGAATAATGTAAAAAAAATTAGTAATATTAGGTATAAAAATGCCATGTCTCTTTACAGTATTATATTTTGTATCTTTGAAGTACCACCTGCTGCAGAAAGTGATACAACCCTTTCTTTTACACTTTATTATACTTCCAAAGCTATAGATCTATCTGACATGATCAATAACTAGAGTCAACGTGTAGTTAATAAAGTATGTAGCTAATAAAACCACAGAAACTAGAAAAGAAAATACAGTCATCAGAGCAAAATCTTTGATAAGATTAAATTTAATTCTCATTGTAATCACTTTGCTCATGAATGTGTAACAACTTTCTGGTTAATGTCCTATAAAATCAAAGTATAGGAGATTGTTCTGTTGCTTCTGTTACCATACTTGGGGGTTCACTGGAACCCTGTGAGATGTGAGTGCAGAAAATATCATCTTTGAGTTTGGAACCACTATTATACATGTCACGTTGATTAAAGGACTCTTTAGAAGCAAAAATCTAATCCACTTATCTCTTCTCTGATTTCAAAATGTAGTTTGATATTAGAAGAAATGATTCTTAAGTAAGGAAGTAAATAAGAATGAAGAGTGTAGGGATGATAACAGAGTATCATTTTAGAGTAGATACAGAATGCATCCACCAAGATGTTACAGGAATCACATGAAGCCCTGTCAAATATGGACCTCCTCGGGGAGGGTAGGAACATGTAAAATTCTTGCTACCTAAGATTACCTAATTTTAAAATCTGCTAGAATGATGATGTGCTTTATCAGCAGTGTCAGTTAAAAATTCTTATTAGATAAAATTATATCATTAACCCCTTGTTAAAAAATAGTCTGAATTCAACTGGTTACATTCCAATTCTTTCCATAAATCTAAGTATTCACTGAGCTTTACAATGAAGTTGTGATTTTAACTGTGTAAGGCACTGGTACTCTAAATTATCATATGCATTTGTCTTATTTTAAAGAAATTGCATTTTTTTTTTTTTTGAGATGGAGTCTCGCTCTGTTGCCCAGGCTGGAGTGCGGTGGCGTGCTCTTGGCTTACTGCAACCTCCACCTCCCGGGTTCAAGTGATTCTCCTGACTCAGCCTCCAAGTAGCTGGGATTACAGGCGCCCACCACTCCCAGCTACTTTTTGTGTTTTTAGTAGAGACAGGGTTTCACCATGTTGGCCAGGCTGGTCTCGAACTCCTGACTTCAGGTGATCTGCCCTCCTCGGCCTCCCAAAGAGCTGGGATTACAGTTGTGAGCCACCATCCCGGCCAAGAAATTGAATTTTAGGATCTATTACTATGACAGCATCTACCACTAATGCTCTCTTCCTTCTTCCCTTCCATCTCTTCTTACTTCCTACAGTTCTTTCTCCAGCCATCCTTTATTTCCTTCATCAATAAGATGTAAGAACCACAAGAATTCTTGCCTATGTGATAACATGATTTTTTGTCATTATATAATGAAACAGCTTTTCACTTATTATCTATTATGTTTCTGATAGTAAATTCACTTATTAGGGTCTAAATAACATTTATATGTTATCTTATTGCTGGGGGCAGTCTCTACTATTTTATGCATTATACTTACCCTGGCTTTTTTTGTATCTTGATATTTTGTGGTTTGTTTTTTCGATTCAATTCATTCCCATTCTTGAACCACTTGAATCTGAGAGAGGAGTATTCAGAACTGGTTTCACACCGAAGGACTAGTTTGGAACCTGCAGCCGATTCCTGGCTTTTCATCTCTTTCAATCGGGGAGGCAAGGCTAAAAGAAGAAAAGAGAATGAAAAACAACTCTGATCACCAGGCAATCTTTCAAAGAGAAACATTTAATCTGGAGTTAGCCTGATCAAGGCACCATTCCAAAGGTTTTATTAACAGAGAGAAAAACAATTTCAAAATGGATGAGCGAAAATGGATCTCATCTTGGAGAAAAATAAAATGCCCAAATAAAATATACTCAGAAGCAGAGAACCAAGATTAGAAAATTATTCCTTAAAAAAATTCTAGATAGTTTCAAGCTTTATATTCTCTGATGCCATTAAGAATCCTGAATGTTGGTAATTTCAAAGAACCAAAAGCCTGTGTTAAAGGAGCGTATGTAGGCTGGGCACGGTGGTTCACGCCTGTAATCCCCCAACTTACGGAGGCTGAGGCAGGAGGATCACTTGACCTCAGAAGTTGGAGTCCAGTTTGGGCAACATGGTGAAACTCCATCTCTATGAAAATACAAAAATTAGCTCGGCATGGTGGCATGTGCCTGTAGTCCCGGCTACCTGGGAGGCTGAGGGGGAAGGACCACCTGAGCCCAGGAGGTCAATGCTGCAGTGAGCCATGATCCCACCACTGCACTTCAGCCTGGGTGACAGAGTGAGATTCTGTTTCAAAAAGAAATTAAAAAAAAATAAAAAATAAAAAGGAGAATATGTAACCGGGCCATTATTTTTAAAGCGTGTTCACATCCCAAATCACAGTGTATCACAGTACTGTGAATAGGCGCAGGAAGCATCACATCCATTTTTAAAATCGGGAAGTTTAATTTCAGAGATAAGTAAGTGGCTGACTTTATCCATGGTTACAAAGTTTGTGGGTACTCGGAGCTAGGGCTCATTTCACTATCCTGTCATCAGAGGGGACCAAAGAACACAGAAAACCCATCAATCTTAACAATGGCTCCTTTCTTCAAGACAGAAATTCTCTGATGCTATCACTCTTTGACTGGACCTACAGAGTTTCTATCCCATACACAATGAATGGACCATTCCAGATGACCACTACTCACAACAAATTCTCTCTTTGATTGGATTTAGTGCATCTAAATAGTCTCAACAGAGACTGTGAGTACTTAAATTATGCATTAGCTTGGAGAATACATTAAACACCTACATACCATTCTTATTTTAAGCAAGACTGCTTAAAAATATGTACCGAAATACTTGCAGATAAAATGTTACAATATCCGAGATTTGCTTCAAAATAATATGGTGGTGGGAAATGGATAGGCATAAAGGTGAAAAACAATTACCAAGAAGCTGATAACTGTGGAAACTGGGTAATACGGACATGTGGTGGTGTGTTATGCAATTCTATATAGTATGTCTAATTCTGTTTATCATAGACATTTCTTAAAAGCATAGATGAATAAATTTTCCTCTCACACATAATTTCACTTTAATAATCAACAAATGTCACAGAACCTGAGAATTCCACAATTCTGTTTCCTGAGTCTCAGAAAAGCCAGCTACAAAATCTACTTCTGCTCCAGTTCAGGAATGTTAAACAGAAACTCCCAGAAAACAAACCCAGGCAAATGAGTCTATACCTCCCTGATTCCGTACCTAATTATTCACCGGGTAAGGGGCTCAAGACTCCAAGGACAGTAATCAGGATCACCTAACCATGAACAGGAAATGGAGACCTTTCCTACTCAGGGAACTCTATTTGTTTTTCTACGATTCTGCCCTTGCCAAGTAAATCCTAAAAATGTCAAGAATGAACATACGAAGTTTCCAATAAATTTCAGAAAAAAATCATTTGAATGCTGTGATTTCTTAGCAGTACCCCTACAGCTACATATTCCCCTTATTATTTATTTGGTGGCTGGGAGATGAGGTGGAGAAGCAGCCATTTAATGTAGTTGACACACTGGCCACTGGCAAATTAGAAAACATGTTTTAGCTGTTCTTAGCCCTTGATACCTGAATATTTTGTCTGGTTCTTTTTTTTTTTTTTTTTTTTGACACCTTGAAAATATTTTTTTCTGAAGAGCTTTCATAGAAGTCTTTTTAAAATGTGGTTCATGAATCTCTGTTTTGCAGGTTTTTTAAAACAGACTAAATTCTCATGTTATCTGAAATAGTGTCTACATATTTCTGTTAACTCCTTAAGATCATTTTTAATTTTGTGAGCCTGGTGAAGGGATTTATTTATTTATTTATTTAGACAGGATCTTGCTCGGTTGCACAGGCTGGAGTGCAGTGGCATGATCATGGCTCACTCCAACCTCCACCTATTGGGCTCAAGTGATCCTCCCACCTCAGCCTCCTGAGTAACTGGAACCAGAAGTGCATGATACCACCCCTGGCTAACTGTTGTATTTTTCATAGAGACAGAGTTTCGCCATGTTAGACAAGCTGGTCTCCACATCCTGGGCTCAAACAATCTGCCTGCCTTGGCCTCCCAGAATGTTGGGATTACAGGTGTGAGCCAATGGCCTGGTGAAGGGTTTTAAAGAAACAAATCTGCCGGTGCTACATGACACCAAAAACTGGTTTACACATATTAAAAAAATACATTGCCTCATTAATTTATTATAAACTGAAATAACTAGTTTGAATTCTTCACCCCTCTGGATTTTACATTTAACTTGGGAACACACCAGAACTTCCAAGGTTTATTCCCTTGCCTCTAAGCAAAATGCCTTATACATGAATTTTCTTCTGTCTCTGCTGCCCCTGAGACAGCAAGACCAATGCCCGCCTCTTCCTCTTCCTCCTCAGCCTACTCAACATGAAGATGACAAGGATGAAGACCTTTATAATGATCCACTTTCACCTGATGAATAAATATATTTTCTCTTCCTTGTAATATTTTCTTTATGTTACTGTATTATAAGAATACCATATATAATACATATAAGTTAAAAATATTTATTAATCAACTGTTTGTGTGATCGATAAGACTTCCAGTCAACAGTAGGCTGCTATTAGTAGTTAGGTTTGGGGGGAGTCAAAAGTTATACTTAAATTTTTGGCCACACAGGGGATTGGCACCCCTAATGCCTACATTGTCTGAGTGTCAACTATACTTCAGATACCTTCTCTTTAAGGACCATGTTTCCCCCCTTACCACTCCATATATTTGCTTATCAATATAGTCTGAGCATAAATCTATGGAGACTTTGTTTTCTTCCCCTTTGATAAACATTTTATCATAAAATCAGTTTGCCCCTCTCTTTCCTTCTTTTCTCTCTCTAGCTCGTCTCTCCTTCCTCTTCACCTTCTGTCTTCATTAGTTTATTTATTTCTGTATTAGGGGTTTTGATTTCAAACATGAGGAAACAATACGACAAATTCAAAATGAGAGATATTCTATAAAACAACTGAAGTAGGCTTTAAAATCAATGTCATCAATAACAAAAGAAGACTGTAAATGTGATCTAGATTAAAGGAGATTAAAGAGACATGGCAAGTCAATCTAATGTGGAGCTACTGATTGGATCCTGCTCCAAGGGAAAAAGAGCTGTATAGGATATTATTGGGACTACTGGGGAAATCTGAATAAAAATATTGTATCAAAGTTAAATTTCTCAAGCAGGAGCACTGCGTTGTGGTTACGCAAAGGAATCTCCTTGTTCTTAGACAATATCTGCTTAAGCATTTAGGGGTGAAATGTCATGATGTCTTCAACTAAACTTTAGATGGTTTAGCAAACAGAAATACATTTACACATATACATGCTAACACATACAGAGGAAAAAAAAAAAAACCGGGAGCCTTGGTCTGTCTCTGATTTTCTGCCTTTCTCATCTGATCTTTCTGCCATTAGATAAAAGACCTAGGCTTCATTAAATACGCACGTGTGTATGTGTGTCTGTGTGTGCGTGTGTGCATTAGTCTGTTCTTTTTTCTTTTTTTTCTTTTTAACTTTTATATTAGGTGCAGGGGGTACATGTGCAGATTTTTATATGGGTAAATTGAGTGTTGCAGGGGTTTGCTGCACAGATGATTTCATCGTCCAAGTAATAAGCATAGTACCCAACTGGCAGTTTTTCAATCGTCACGTTCTTCTCACCCTCCGCTCTCAAGGAGGTTTCTTCTTTATGTTCATGTCATTAAGTATTTTTAAACTCTTGGTTAATTTGCATTCATGAAAGAAATTCTTGTAAATATTTGAGTTAATAATTTATAAGTTAAATTTAATTAATAATAACATTACATTCATTTAAATCATTTAAATTCTGCAAGCGGTATTGCACTGAAATGCTCATGGTTCATCCTCACAATCGTGACTTCAGGGCCCCAACCCCACTATGGTCTTTTGATGGAAGGAAACCAATCACTCATTGGGCAGGTCAACACTTCTCCTTTCCTTTTGGGGTCCATATGCAGAGTGGTACATTCCTTGCCTTACGAGATGATCTACAATGCAATGAGGCAGAGACCTTCAGATCCAAGGTCCTTCTTAGCTAAAATATCCCCTCTTAAGCTGACCCTGATGTATGAACATTTCTCGATGTTTGCGGTTCAAGGATACCTCTAGTGACCAGCCTGAATTTCTCTCTCTTGCACATAGTTCCAAAATCATCAGATGTGGAAAAGCTCACAGCTACTCTAACTTTGCATCCCTAGAAGTCCAGGTGTAATAATGTCCCTGCTGCGTCCTTCTGGGGTAACTTCTATGACATGAGGATATCCAGCTTTTCAGAAAACAGCTCTCTTAAGTTGATAACTCAAAATCCTCCATAGCGTAAGTGAAGAAACACATCTGTGTACTACCAACAGAGCTGCACAATTGCATCCTTGACTTATGGATGTTCTGCCGTCAGTGGTACCTTCTAGACAAGGACCATACAAAGGTTCTCGCTCACTCAGGGCAGAGCTCAAATTCAAGTATCAAGGACACAGGGCAAAAATTTTAAACCTTTTTTTGTCTTTATGGATATTTTTTCAAACTTTTTGTCTTCCAGGACTACTGGAATAGCCCTGAATATTTCACAGATTCTTATAAAAGTGCAAACTAATATTTGAGCCCATGTGGTTTGTATGACTTTTTTTCATCTATCCATAATGAGTCAATTTTCAACAGAGTAAATTTTCTTTTTGTCAGAGATTATATAAATAGCTATCTGTTAATAGAATTCATTTTCAATGTACACGTGTTTCTCAGGCATATGGTTTACTCACATGAAACAATATCATTTATTTCACTGAAATAAAACCTATTCACCAAGTATCTTCTAATACCCAGGAATAACTTTATAAGGCCAATGGTAGTTCCTAAACTTAGGGTCAATTCTTGTTAAGTAAGTACTCGAATTTTAAAAGTGCAAAAAAATTTTTACTTGTCTTGAAAGTCTTATCTAAGCATAAAAGGTCTGTTAATTAAAAATTAGTTGAAGGCAAGCTCAAGGCTAAGTTAATGCTTCAAATGCAGGAGGTGTTCCGAGAATCTTAAGCATGATTTAATTGTATTTGGTCTACCGCAGTTCATAATTTTGCTCTCTATGTGTTTCTAGAGAGGCGGTAGTTCCACACCCTGAAACAATTTAATAACAGAGCAAGTTTTAAGCAGTCTGTGCCTAAATCTATTTCAAACTTGCTTGACATTAATATAAACATATCCACATCCTTAGAAATGCATCAACAGAGGCAGACAGTCCAGTGCAAAGAACAGCCTTTTAAAACAGACATGCAAATGCTTTCAGAGCAATGCCACACATTTCACAGGAGCTTCTTTTGAATACTTCTCTTTACAGGCTTTAAGTGTTTTCAAATATCTTAAAAGATCACAAATATACTCCTCTGACTCTAACTCAAAACATGCAGGTATGCAAAGTATACTTCCAAAGTCTACTTTTGTGTTCTGCTTTTCCTATTTGCTATGTCACACAATTTAGGGAAGAAAAATGTGGTTGTAATCCAAAAATACTTATATTTCATATTCTGACCACCACAAAAACTCAATGCAACATGTTCATTTATTCTAATAATTTAATGGGTGAAAAAATACTTGTGGTAAGGGCAAAATAAATTTCCAAAAAAACAACCTCATTCATCTAAGCAATCCTCTTGTTTTGATCATCTACTGTGCCCTTATTTTTCAAATATTATTCGTGCAGCTATATCGAATATTGTACTGTATTGTTAAGAACAGGAAACAAATTTTAGCATGTGTCTGCTGCAGAGATATGCTGATGGCATGTGACACTAGGTAAGTTGTTATTTCTGGTCTCTGAAGGATCTGACAATGCAAAGCTAGCTCATATCTTTACTCTCCACGTTTGTGCAGCTAATCTGAAGAGCCTCAACACATTGAACAAATTACACAGGAAACCTGCAAAATGTTATCAAGTAACAATGAGCTTTCAGCTATGATCCCAGCTAAGTCTTCCCTGCATAAATGTGTAAAAAGCCCACCATCACATATGTGCAGATCCCACAGTGACAACCGGTGACTGACAATTATGTTAGCTAATGAAAGCCACACGAATACCATTAATCAGTCCTCTATGCAGGATGTCCTTTTGTTAATAGTCATGTTAGAAGTAGATAAATTACTATGGAGAGTCTCCAAAACTCCCCCAGTCATATTTCTCTCTCCTTGTACTATCTCACGAAGTTGATTACAGTCCTGCAACAGAGTGGATAAACTTTGTGCTCTTCCATCTGGTCTTCTCTTCTGAGCTGCACTCACAAATTTGGCTATAAAAGGGAAAGTTTGTCTTATCAAATGTGTAAATATAGCTGTGTAAAAGGCAGCACATTCTAGTGGTAATGGTATTTCGGAATGCAGCTAGGTTTTAATGCCCTGCTACTGACGCAGTGGGTGATGTTGGGTTATATCCCGAATCGCCCAACAAGATCATTATTTGTTGCCACCTGTGGTGATGTTGTGCTCACCCCGCCCTGTGCTCTAGCTGAATCAGGCTTAGACAGAATGTTCTTGATTCAAGTTAAATAGGGTTCCCTGTGAGCTGGAATGGAGCTGCTATTTGTCCCTGACTACTGAGGAAGGAGGATGGCACCTTCATTTGAAATAAAAGTTGCCATAAAATTCAGTATTTTGTTATAATATATTCTCAAGCTGACTCTCTTTACCACTGGCAGCAAACTAAATCCAACCAGCAAACACACTGGGAATAGGCTTCAAAGTAGGGTTAAGATGGCTGGACTCTGGAAATTCCATTCTAGCAGTTCCATGTCCAGCTCCTTATGTAATCCAACGATGTGTATATGAACTACTGAATAATTTCTTTGCAAGCACATAACATGCATAGAACGTTTCATTATACAACATAAAAGAATAAAATTGGGGGCAGTATTTCAGCATTTTATGCTAACACTCATCACAGTGGTGCCACTACAGCCAGAGTTGGCTTCTTACTAGTGCTTCATTTTGATTTCCCAAACATATTGGTTTCCTTTGGTGGGGGATTTTACATACGGATGTCCTCCAAGTTTCACTTCTCACAATTAACTGCTACACGATGACTGAAACAGTATGATTCTTTAAGATATTTGATTTGAGGGTATGAGCCACAATCAGCTCAGTTAAATAGAATGCTTATGCTAAGGCCATTGAAGATGATTAATCAGATTCTCCATCTGAAAACCATACTCAACTGACTGCACTTAAAAAACATGTAGAGGGCTGGGCGCTGGTGGCTCATACCTGCAATCCCAGCTCTTTGGGAGGCCGAGGCAGATGGATCACTTGAGATCAAGAGTTCAAGGCCAGCCTGACCAACATGGTGAAACGCCATCTCTACTAAAAATACAAAAATTAGCCAAGCATTGTGGCACACATCTGTAATCCCAGTTACTAGGGAGGCCGAGGCACGAGAATCATTTGAACTGGGGAGGCAGAGATTGCAGTGGGCACACCACTGCACTCCAGCCTGGGTGACAGGGCAAGAGTCCGTCTCAAAAAACAAAACAAAACAAAACAAAACAAAACAAAAAAACCCACATGTACAAACAGAGGGCCATTCAAGGAATTTATCCCTACGAAATCAAACAAGGGTCAGCAAGTTAATAGCAGGGGGTCACAGTCTCTATTTGGAGGGTTAGGCTATTTCCTGACTGTGTATGTGTCCATTTGGATTGATACTATACCTAAACATCAAAATTTCTGAATTTATTGAATGGAAGATATACAGGATCTCAGGCTCTCCTAACCCAAAGTAGGACTTCAAGTGTCTGCTGAAAGGATGAGGAAGAATCTGGAAGATGCTGACAAAGAAGAAACCCAGGTACAAAATGATTCCAGAGGCCCCATCTATCTTCTCTATGACTTTTTATTATTTGGAATCGTGAGGCCCTGTGACATTGTTTGTGTTCTGCATGCCACTGGGCTAGGACTCTTATGCCGCTCTGCCATCAGACACTAACAAAAATGACATGTAAATCTAACTGGAAAATTGTCAAGTAAGTCGTATTATCTTTACTTTGAAGTTTTCATGTTCTGTATTTCTCTTATCTGGCCATCACTGTTGG